>NC_000006.12:3393333-3544848 GCF_000001405.40 Homo sapiens
GCCCATCCAATATAATAGCCACGAGCCATACGTGGTTACTTATGTGAATTAAAATGGTTTTAAATGACAAATTCAGTCCCTTAGTTACTCCTGCACATCTCAAGCACTCAATAGCACACGTGCCTAGTGCTGGACTATTGGGCAGTGCAGGTAGAGAACATTTGCCTTGATGCTGCAGGTTCTCTTAGGCAGCTCTGACCTAAACCCTCCTCTAAGTTCCTCTTTGAAACTGTTGATTATGCTTGGTTTGCCTCATAGGATGATGTGAGCGGGAAAATGGCAGCAGAAATACATGTTTCCCACTTGATTTTCCTTTTATAACTTAGACATGTGACAACCATTGCTCCACGCCTTTGTCCAAATTCTTTGGGTTCATGTTTACAAACTGTTTATAATAACTTTCAACGTTTGAAGAGGGCAGCGGTCTGCATAGCTTCTCAGCGGGTAATTATTCTCAGGTTTTCAATCGTTCCTTCATTCGGAGTTACCTCTTCATCCCTCTGAAAAGAGGATAGGAACGAGGCAACGGCCTCTCAGGCCCTGGAGATGGTGTGGCTTCTCCCTGTGCCCTTCCCTCCTCTCCCTGCACTCCACACAGGCATCACAAATGGAAAAGCCAACTGTGCAAACATTCGCTTCTACCGTCACAAGGTGAAAAGGAAAAATGCCAAAAAGGAGAGCTTGGAAACACAGCAGAAGAGCAATGACCCCCTGCAGAGAACATGAAATAAGATCCGGCAGTGACCCCACTAAAGACACGGAAAATAAGGTCCAACCCAGAACTGGTCAGAGAACACCACTGTGCTTTAGAGTAACAATTACAAAGGAAAAGAGGGATCGGGCACTGTAATATCCCGGGACTGCAGCTTGTACTCTCTGGGTGGTGCATTCTGTAATTCAATTAAATCCTTGCAAAGAACAAGATCCGTGTATCACAGAGTCATCAGATACTCCCCCAGCAACTCCAGGCACACATGAAAGTTCTCACAATAATTCCTGTATGTGGTTGGTGGGCTCTAGACTCACGGGACTCAAGAAGCCCAGGTGAAACACAAGAAAACTGAATGATGATTCCAAAGACCATCTTTTCAGTGGCAAAACTGTCAAGAACAGGAATGATTGTGGTAAATTTCATTTATGGGAAATATAGATTTGAGTGATTAGTTCTCCATTTAACTTTTTCCAGGGATGCCTACTGCATCAAAGAGGAAATTATCAGGTTGAATTTGTGAAACTGCACAAACTATGGTTGCTTCATGGCAGCCCCTGGAATCAGAAGGGTGTGACCCCCAGAGTGATCCCCCCCAAACACAAAGCAAAGCACATCACTTTGTCCCTCAAAAAGCTGGCAGTGGCTCTCCAGGGCCCACAGGGTAAAGACCAGACCCCTTAAGTCTCCACGTCGCTCTGAGGCCTGCCCCGCTCTGGTCTACCTTTGCACAGCCCCCACATGATAGTCCCATGTCCTCTGTGGAGAGTCACATCCTGTCTGGCCAGGCTCCCTGGTGACAGGGGCTAAGACTCGGGGAAGGGACTTCATCCTCAGATGCTGGAGAAAGCAGCCAGAGAGTCACAGAGGCAGCCCAACCATGGAGTCACAGGCAGGGGGCAGGTCTAAACCACACCATCAACCCAGTGATGAAAAGCAGGCACCAAGGCGGGCAGGTATGAGGCAGGGAGGACGGGTCACCAAGGTGGGGCTGGGCTCCAGGATGCTGGCTCCGGAAGTGGGCAGGAATATTGTAGCCATCTCTGGGTGTGTTCTTGGCAGTCTACAGAAGTTTTAAAATCGTATGCTCTCATGTCAGTGAAAAACTTAGTCTTATATTAATACAAGGGTATTCTCAATCATCTGGATGGGATGCCTGTAGCCCAGTGTGAACCTATAATAAGATTTTGGAGCCCACATTTTCATCTGGATTTATACGCACCAAAGGCCACATGTCACCATGACTGGCTGCACAAATGCAGGTCTAACAGGTATGAATAAAGTAGTAGGAGAATCAAGATCTCACATGCGTACGGCAAACCCTACTGAGCCTGAGCGTCAGGCAGGGGACCACAAGGACTGTGCCCATCCATCTTGTAAAGATCAGCTTCATTAGCAAGAAGAGTAATAGGAAAACAGGCAATAACGAATGCTTCCAATCTCAATGACAGCCATAAATGGACTAACTGCATATTTAATTATTACTTTAAAGTAATGCCACAAATCTAACTTTATCTTCAGGAGACAGATAGAGTAGCGCAGCCATCAGGCACCCCATTATAGCGAATGACTGAGGCTTGCTCATGGAGCAGGCCAGGGGTGAAATACATAAAGCTTGAGTATTCCATGTCAGCCAAGCCTTAAAATCACTGCCATCTCAGATGGCAAAATTACGCAAAAAGGCAACATGTATACTGGCATTACTCAAGTCAAAATGCCAAAATAGATTAAATATTAATCTGAATCTGAAGCTACATCTTTCTCCTATTCAACCCATCATGAGTCAGTGGGTAATTCTGTTTCAGGAAAAGACTATTGTCCATCACATGGAACTCCTGGATTGAAATTATATTATACAGGTTTTGAAACTGTTGTTAATATTTTGGTTTTATAGTTATTTGGAAGTTACGAGAACTCATGCAAATTCCTTACAAGATGATTGTACACATTTAAATAATACTATACTAACATATTTCAAGTCAAAAAAAGATGGGGCTGTTGGGAACAACACAGCAGTATAAACAGGGCACTAGAGCCAGGCGGACTTGGGACCGGGGAAGTTCTGTTTGCTCCATCTCTTAGTGATATACGGAAGGGAAGTGCTAGGAAGGGAAGAGCTGGGTAGAGGAGGGCATGGTCCCTGGCTAGGGCTCCATCCCCACAGACCTAGGTGAGGACAGGCATTTCCTGCCCAAGACCACCCTGGCCTGCCACGCCCCCATCCTGTGCCCCGGAGATGGCCAGGTGCAGTGGCTTATGCCTGTAATCCCAGCTCTTTGGGAGGCCAAGGCGGGCAGACCATGAGGTCAAGAGATCGAGACCATCCTGACCAACATGGTGAATCCCCATCTCTACTAAAAATACAAAAATTAGCTGGGCATCTGTAGTCCCAGCTACTCGGGAGGCTGAGGCAGGAGAATCACTTGAACCCGGGAGGCAGAGGTTGCAGTGAGCCAAGATCGCGCCACTGCACTCCAGCCTGGTGACAGAGTGAGACTCCACCTCAAAAACAAAACAAAACAACAACAACAAACCCCAAGACCCTAGCAGGGAGGCACACAGGCAGCTGGACATTGAGAGGAGCACATCAGCAGAGGAACACACAGGCGGCTGGATGTTGAGAGGAATGCCCCAGCAGGCACCGGCATGCACCAGCAGGCTGGCAGGCCATCGACCAGCAGAATGACATGGAATTTGGTGGGGCAGTCGGAGAAGAGCGAGGCTGCCGAGCAGCCTGACTCCAGGGAAAACCCATCTCCCTTCTGGCTCCCGCATCTGCTGACAACTACTTCCGCTCAATAAAACCTTGCACTCATTCTCCAAACCCAGGTTGATCCGATTCTTCTGGTACACCAAGGCAAGAACCCCAGGATACAGAAAGCCCTGTGTCCTTGCAATAAGGCAGGGGTCTGACTGAGCCAACACAAGCTGCCTTCCGATGGCTAAACTAAAAGAGCACCCCGTCACGCACGCCCACCGGGGCTTCAGGAGCTGTAAACATTCACCCATAGACGCTGCTGTGGGGTCGCAGCCCCACAGCCTGTCCGCTTTATGCTCCTCTAGAGGTTTGAGCAGCAGGGCACTGGAAGAGTGACCCACTCTCCCATCCCACACCCTGCAAGGGGGACAAGGGAACTTTTCCCATTTCATTAGTATGTAACCTTAGGCAAGTTACCTTCCCTAGGCCTCAGATTTCTGTTTATGAAATGAGTGCTCATATCACAGAATTACTGGGTGGATTAAATAGTTCCATAGCACTCAGCAGTGAAAAAGTTCACCTTTGCACAGTCCCCACATGACAATTCCGTGTCACCTATGGAGAGTCACATCCTGGCTGGCCAGGCTCCCTGGCGAGAGGGGCTCAGGGAAGACGCAGTGTACAAGCTCAGTAAGTGTTATCTCTGGCTTAAAGGCATCTCTAGCAAATTAGACAAGGTCCAGGAATTAGAGGTCTCAGTTTCCTTAACTGTAAAATGGGGCTATTTGTGGGAGCTACTTTACATGGTTACTATGAAATTTACATATCTTTCTATATATTTGTGTATATGTACATATGTATAACTCAGCATAGTTTCTGAACTTAGAAAATGCTGAATAAATAGCTTATTATCATCCATTGTTGTCAAGGCACTATCATGATAGCCTCAATCCCTTTTTACTCTTTAATATCAAAACAGTGCTCAGCTATACAGCACCATGCTATATACATGCACACATGCTGAGGTGTGCCAAAAGGGAGGTCTCAAGCCAAGATTCACTGTAGCTACTAGATGTCTAACTCTTACACTCCGGGGCTGTATATGGTTCTTTCTAAAAAGAGGTAAGGGAATGACATAATGAGATATGAGACACAATCACGCTCCAAGCACTGAGGTCAGCCCAACGGGGAGCAAATGACCAAGAATGGGGGGCCCTGGGGCCTCCCAGCAAACACTTCCCATGTAGTGAGGGTAGTCACATGACCCCACCCTAACACAAAGCAGCCAGTACTATTTACCAAAGAGGAGAAATCATATTTTCCCTTGCATTCTTCTCCATCTCAGAGTCCTTGTTCACCCTGGGAGCCTTGCACACTTAGCAATGCCAGTTCGACATATTAAACTGATGCCAAGGAAGAAATAGTGAAAAACTCTAAGCCCCACAGGAACTTAGCAAAATGTATTTACTATTTAAAACTGATATGGATGGGGAAATGAACTAGAAGTAAATAGCCCTTAATTCCTAACCCTACCCCCAACCCTGATAATCTGACTTTGGTTTGGAGGGAGTTCTGAGCCTTTTCCCAGAACTCACACAAAGCAAATAACAAGCAAGACATGCTTTCAAAAGGCAGAGGTTAGAAAGGACGCAAGCACCTCTCAGCCAGCAAACAGGAGCAGGCAGAGCCAACTCTGCTTGGATACAAAGCACTATTTTTTTTTTTTTTTTTTTTTACAAGAATCATCAAAAGCCCTGTGGAAGGAAAAACGAAAAGAAAATAACAGCCCTTAATCAGAGACCCATTTTCTGGTCTCGGTGTTCTGTGCAGGAGATTCAGAGGCCCTCTGAGCTGTCCCACTCTGTCACCTGGGAACACTGCCCTGAAGTGGAGGCCCTGCAGCTTCGCCCAAGAGCATCTCACCCCAGCTGCAACCCTCCCTGCCTCCTCAGGCTCCTTGACGTTGGTTTCTAGTGGGGTAGAGGTCTTAGCTTTGAAAACACCCAGGACTAGATGTGGTGGCTCATACCTGTAATCCCAGCACTTTGGGAGGCCGAGATGGGAGAACTGCTTTATCCAGGAGTTCAAGACCAGCCTGAGCAACATCGTGAGACCTCATCTCTACAAAAAATTTAAAAAGTAGCCAGGCACGGTGGTGCATGCCTGTGGTCTCTGATACTCAGGAGGCTGAGGCGGGAAGATCCTTTGAGGCCAGGAGGTCGAGACTTCGGTCAGCTGTGACCGCACCACTGCACTCCAGCCTGGGCAACAGAGCAAGACTCTGACTCTTAAAAATAAAATAAAATAATAAAACCGAAAAAACGAAAAACACTCAGAAGGCCCCTGAGTCTGACTTCACCATTTAGAGAATCACCAGCAAGGCCCTGCTTCCAGAGTCTGGGCCAGTGGGAGGTGGGTTCCTACAGGCCTGGCGGCTGGACTTGGGAAGTTGTTCACCATGCAGAGGAAACGCCTCTTCAGAGGGGACCACGAACTCACATCATAAAATGTGCAAAACAAGGCACTGCCCATCATTTCACCCCAAATATTTTCTAAGTCTTACATGGATTTTGGGCCAGCAATCGGAATGTGGTTCCTGAACTGTTTTTCCCCCAGAAGAGCCATTTGAAAATACAATAAAAAATGAACCATGTGTTATTCAAAGTCATGCCCTTCCTCAAGCAGCCATTCATGTCCATCCTGAAAACACACATTCTCACACAGCCACATCGCAAACAGGAACTGCCATCCGCCCCTCCAGAAGGAAGGCAGTGAAACTTTATGGCAGAACATGGCAAACAACAGGGCCAAGCCTATAGCTGTGTTACGGATAATGAGCAACGTCCTGAGTTAATATTTAACAATATGAACAAAATGTTTACAGGCGTTTTTAGGGATTAATACAAGGAAGGGAAAGGGAGAGGTTGCATACAGATAAGATAAATCTTGAAAATGAGTACCACTATTCTATTTCTTCAGTGGGTTTTCTTACCAATTAATGAAGCATTCTGTGAGTGATGGATACTCAGGGAGTCGATAGAAGAGCCCTAGGAATGATCTGTCCAGGAGAATTTTTTCTTGAGTTTATTGTCCTCTCCTACCCCTGAAGTGGTTAAGACTTTCAAAATGCAATATATGATTGCATTTATTTTTTTGAGACGGAGTTTTGCTCTTGTTGCCCAGGCTGGAGTGCAATGGCACAATCTCAGCTCACTGCAACCTCCGCCTCCCAGGTTCAAGCGATTCTCCTGCCTCAGCCTTCCAAGTAGCTGGGATTACAGGCATGCACCACCATGCCTGGCTAATTTTTTGCATTTAATAGAGATGGGGTTTCACCATGTTGGTCAGGCTGGTCTCGAACTCCTGACCTCAAGTGATCCACCCGCCTCGGCCTCCCAAAGTGCTGGGATTACAGGCATGAGCCACCGCGCCCCGCCCATGATTGCATTTTAAAATGAATTTTAAAAGCTCTGAATGGATGCTATAAGAGAGGTAATTTATTAAGCTGACCACTGGAAAAACAATTATGAAGCAGATTCTTGCCCCCACCCACCAGTTATTCTGCTATTCTAAGCTACCAGACAGCCACAGTCCAAAGTTCCCAAGCTTGCTGCGAGCCCAGAGATTCCCTCACATGAGTGGGCCTCGTGGAAGAGGAAAGGGCCGATTATTTCAGGGCAGTAATGGTGCTTGCAGTAGGATGGTATCTCAGGGCAGCTCTGGTGCTTGCAGTAGGATGGTGGCCATCACGTCACAAACATGCAAATGTCCACCAACACTTCCCTGGAACTTCATGGTTTTACAGATGACAATCACGTTCATCTGGTCAGCCACCTGCCCAATCTTTCCTAGGTGAGGAAACTGACTTTGAGTAGTCAGCTACCTTGTTAAAGGTCACAACTGGCAAGTGGGGGGCTTGGCTTCCAATCCAAGCCTGGATTCCACCCAAGCATCTTCTCAACTGTTTCCGTGTGATCACACGCACGTGTGTGCACTTGGGTGTGTGTTGATGAGAAAGAGGGTGGGGATATGGCAAGTCTTCACACACTGCCTTTCAGTATGGACACTGGAACATCAGAACAAAACTGCATCTCTAACTCAACTCAATTGTACTAAATGTAACTGAATATCCAGTTATTGAGTCACGGGAATATCATGTTTCAGGTGACTTTAAGCAAAAATAGGCATTACCGACTTGCCTTCCAATTCCATTTTTTTCTGCTCAATAATAATGAACATCTAACACTCTAAAAAACATTGTCTTGCACAACAATGGAAATATATCACTAAATTGTGCACACTTAAAAATGGCTGCAATGGGACAGGCATGGTGGCTCATGCCTGTAATCCCAGCACTTCGGGAGGCCGAGGTGGGTGGATCACTTGAGGTAAGGAGTTTGAGACCAGCCTGGCCAACATGGCAAAACCCCGTCTCTACTAAAAATACAAAAATTAGCCGGGCGTGGTGGCGCCTGTAGTCCCAGTCACTTGGGAGGCTGAGGCGGGAGAATCGCTTGAACCTGGGAGATGGAGGTTGTAGTGAGCCGAGATTGTGCCGCTGCACTCTAGCCTGGGCAACAGAGTGAGATTCCATCTCAAAACAAAAACAAAAACAAAAAACAAAACACAAAACAAAAAAGGCTGAAATGGTAAACTGTATGTAATGTATATTTTGCCACAGTAAAAAAAAAATATAACTTTCTTTCTAAAATACTTGGCATAGGACAAGACAGTGCTTCTCTGAGGCATACATAAATTAAAACCTATGCTCGAAATAATTCACATTACATTAATCACTACATGGAATTAAAGTTGCTTTGCCACACTTACCTCTGACCTACTGGGCAATCTTTGCTATGCCCAAAGGACATTTTTCAATGTCCTGCATCACTTGACTCTGCTGTCAGCCCCTTCCTTGGCTCCCTGGTAACCAGCCTGGTCTGACTCTCCACTGACCACACAGTCGGTTCCTCCCTGTCTCTCTCCACTGGTTCTTCTACCTCCACCCATTTGTTGCTCAGCTACAGAGCCCCTGGGTGAGCTCAGCTCTGGTAACCTTTAGTTGCTACCTTCATCCTGAGGACACGGGGGCCTTGCTCCTGAACTTCTGAATAACAAATCTCCTGGCAAATCAATCCTCTCAGATGCCCTAAGTCTCCATCAGCTTACCAGGTCTGAAACAGAGGTCATCATCTTCCCCTGTCAGACTCATGGGAGGAAGGGAGTGGTCGGTAGCTTCAGACTCTACAGGATTTGGAATCAGAGTAGAATGCTTGGGCTGAATCCCTTTTATCACCATTCAGAGAAAAATCCCCTCTCCAGGTATCCAGGCAAGTCCCCTGGCCCTCCTTCACCCTTCTCCCCATTCCTCAGTCATTGAGGCTGTGATTCTGCATCCTCAGTGTCTCTCCTGCCCCATGGCCATGGCCCTCATTCGGGCTCTTCTTCCTCGCCTCACTACCACAGCAGCCTCCCAGCTCCTAGCTTGGCCTTCTTTTCCTCTTTGGCCTGCTCACACTGCAGCCTGAGACATTTCTCCAAAACATGCATCTAAGGCTTATCTTTCTCAATTGAGATCCTTCAGTGGCCTGCCACTACCTTAAGGTCATGGAGGATAGGTCTGTGTGTGTTGTTCCATCCTCCTTCCTTGGCTTTGTTATTCATAATTTAGATTCCGACCCCAATCACCAACACTACCCAGAGTGCACTAGGCTCTAGCTAAGCCCTAATCACCCACACTACCCAGAGTGCACTAGGCCCCAGCCAACCCCAATCATCCACACTACACAGAGTGCACTAGGCTGCAGCCCACTCCAATCATCCACACTACCCAGAGTGCACTAGGCTCCAGCCAACCCCAATCACCTATACTACCCAGAGTACACTAGGCTCTTCTAGGATCTAAGCACCCACTGCAAATAGCAAACACCTATTCTCCCTGACCCCACAGAACTCACAGCTCAGGAGTCTCCTCTGGTGCTCACTGTCCCAGCAGGGTGTGTCTCTGCCTCTTCACTCACTAAACTCTGAGTGCGCTAGAGGGCAGGAGCACGTACTTGCCTCTATGTCCTCAACACTCAACAATGGCAAGGGTTTAGTATGTAATCAAGGAACCAACTGTCCATCCCCTGGCACCCGACAGGTCCTCACATGTTCATGGAGCAAATGAGCAAAGGAGAAAATTGTGCTTCCGGGCAGGTCATGAAAAACTAAAACTTAAACTCTTTGTAGCAGAGCCTATCTGGCAGGATGCGCTGATTTGAGAAACAGTTGTTGACAACAAACTTTCATGGCTCTGCACCATTTGAGTTATATTTCTCTCTGTGCTCTCAGCCAAGAGTCTGTCTTTTCAATAACAGCAAGTCTTGGCAAACCAGTAATGATTTTGCTTCCCACTAGATACATTTGGATGTTTTCAAGAAGCCTAATGTTTTGCTTTTTTTTTTTTTACTTGTTTTCAAGGTGACTGATTTATTTCCTCTTTTAATTTGCTTTTAAGAACATAAAACAAAACAAAGTCAGCCCAGTATTGCTCTCTTACACTCCTGAACAATTTTTTCTGGTCGACTCAGCTTTTAGCTTCAGGTCCCATCCTGTCTGTCCAGGTGTGGAAAAAAAAAAAACTCCCAGGGAGTGTAATAGGATTCCAGCCAGCAAACATGTGGTAAGAGAGGCGAATGGAGCAAGCAGGAAAGGATTTCCAGCAGGGGCCAGCAAGGGCAAGGTTGTTGACATGAGGGCAGGGTCTGGAACCCTGGGGAAAGGGAAGCTGTTAACCATTAATCTTACCCTATCACAGCATCTCTTCCCAGCTCACTTTATAGATCGGCACTGGCGCAGCAGCCACACAGCGAGGAAGGATGGAAGTCCAACAACACTAGGTACTAGTGTGGACTTGAGACTGGCACATCTAGGGGGGTAAGAGGAAGCACCCCTGGTTTCACTGCCCCCACTCCCACCCCAAGAAATCTTCAACACTGAAGGAGGCTAATGGCTAAGAATTCAAAAGCCATAGAATTCTAAAACTGGAAGTTACGTTGAAGCTCAATAGTTTTCCATTTGTTTTGTTTTCCATTCATTTTCTCCACGAGTTATCCCAGGAAGCGATCGCACAGCTACACAAAACTTGGTTTAAATCTCATCCCTTACTTTATAGAGAGGGAGACACAAGCTCAGAGAGATCTCACAATCTGTCACGGTCACCGTCAGTCAACTGTGGAGTCTGCAATCCAGCTCAGATCTCCTGATTTTCAGATCTTTTCAGTTCCCCTTTTAGAGTAGTGAACAGCTTTGTTTCAAATGAAGCACAGACACACTACTGAAATTCCAGTCTGGAAAAAACCTAGTCCGTAAGGTTTTGACGCACAGTTTAAGAACAGCCTCCCCTGTGTGGAAAAGCATCCAAATACTCTAATTTTAAAATGCCCAGATATCTCCGAGTATTTGCTACTATTTTCCTCTGATTTGGACATAGATCTACCTTCACCAAATTCAAAACACCAAAAGATATATGCACTGGAAAGCCTATCTGTACATTTAGGCAATAGCTACATGTTTTCTTGCACAGACTTCTGGACAGAAGACTGGGCAGATGGGTCTCAGTGATGCCACTGGCCGCTTATTCTTTCTCTGTCCTCACATTTCCATTTTTAATATGCAGGTGAGATGATATATCCTTACATGCCCTAGAGACATTTGCATTTTTTCCAGAGAAATGTCTATAGAAAGAAAAGTCCAGGTTTTGGCGAACATATAGGTAGAGATAGAGAGAAAGGCCTGAGTAAATTTTTATTTGAAGGACTGGCACAATTTTGAGAAAAATCAGTCTTCAGTGGCATGTTGTGGCTCCCTGCTGGATGGCTCACCCCTCCAGGCTCTGACCCATGACCAGTGGCCCTGCCTAACTGGCCACCACAGCATTCTCGCCTTCCCAGGGGTTGGAACTGCCTCACCAGATGCTTCTATTCTTACTTACCCTGCAGTGAGCCCAGAAGCTCTGACTGCTCAGAGGTGGGATAAGGGAAGACAGTGGGGTACAGAGCAAATGCCCTGTTACTTTTTGCTTAGAAATTTACTCCTTTGCTTTTCGCAGTTTGCCCGCAGGGTTAGTAATGTGTTTCCAGTGAAGAAAATGACCAATGGAGAGACCTCAATCTGCTCCGATTTCCCTGTTGTGCCCATCTGAACCTCAGTAAAATCAAAATTCCTTTGAAGCTTAAAAAAAAAAAAAGATTTGTCGGCCAGGTGCGGTGGCTCATGCCTGTAATCCTGGCACTTTGGGAGGCCGAGGCGGGCGGATCACGAGGTCAGGAGATCGAGACCAGCCTGGCCAACATAGTGAAACCCTGTCTCTACTAAAAATACAAAAAAATTAGTTGGATGTGGTGGTGGGTGCCTGTAATCCTAGCTACTTGGGAGGGTGAGGCAGGAGAATCACTTGAACCTGGGGGGCGGAGGTTGTAGCGAGCTGAGATGGCACCACTGCACACCAGCCCAGGCGACAGTGCGAGACTGTCTCAAAAAATTTAAAAAAAAAAAAAGTTTGTCAAAGGCCTTCGGTAAACTCTGACTCATTTCCTTGGTGGAAATAGCCTTGTGAGTGGAGTTGGTCCCACCAGGAGAAGGGCTTTTTGCCCTGAGAACTTGCTGCTACTGGGAAGGCCCACGTATCTGAAGATGGGGAAACCGGGTGGAGACAAAGAGACGACCGAGCACGTATTCATGCGAAACTTTCCCTTCACCCAAATGCAGAGCAAATGTTTGCTCCCCAGAAGCCCACAAGGTAGCTGAAGCCATTTCTAGTTGACATCGGCAATCTCCATTCTCTTCATTCCACACTTTGACAACTCACTCTGTGGAGCCATTTGGCTCAGTCAAATTTTTTTTTTTTTTTTTTACATATATAGCATAGTGCTGATGCTTAAAGATCCTGTTGACTGAAATAAGTTGCAAGGAATATTAGTTCAGGGAAATATCAAAGTGTAAAAATATATGGGATAGTGAGAAAGAAAAAGCCATCCAACACCAGCACATTAGAAATTACTCAATCACTTCTGTCATGTGAAAAAGGGATCAGCACCCCACCCAGAGCAAACTCAAACTCTGAGTCTATTACCAGTTAAGTCAAGACTTGGCTTCTATTTTTGCAAAGTAATCAGTAACTGAGTCAGCTGTGAAATTCCTGGTTGCTCCTTGATCTTGTGTAACATTTATCCAATCATTTAGGCTGTTTGGGTTGAAGGAGGGTTATTACAATAAGAACATCTTTGAGAGACTTTTTCAAGAAAATTGTTCATTGTTGGGGGGAAAAAACCCTTCATTTGCCCACAGGAACTAAGGTTTGGTCTGTCAGCAAAAGGTATTGTTCATTATTTCAAACTGGGAAAGTGTAGCTGGTGGGGGGCAGTTAGAAGTGGAGAGGGGAAAAGGTAGAGATCAAGTTAGAAGAGACACTTTTAAACAGTATTTTTTATTTAAAAAAATTCTCTCCCACAGGACTTACTACATCCAACATCAAATCAACTTAAAAAACCACCATCTCTCATGGCTCCATTTGAAGAAAGACACATCCTTCACAGTGCTATATTACCTTGTCTGTGATATTATGGATCCTGGTTAGGAAAAGGATTCATACCACAACCAATCACGTCCGCCTATGCTGAGAAGTGTCCATTTCTTTAGGCTGAAAATAAGACTGTACTTTCATAAACAAATAGGAAAATGTGATCTATTGCTTCTTTTCTTGGTCCGTGCCCCTCGCCTTGCTAAGTCAGTTTTTCGACTGCCTGTGTGTGTGTGTGTGTGTGTGCGCGCATGTGTGTGTGTGCGTATGTGTGTCCAGAGGCCACTGATCCAGTCCAAGTGTATTTAGAAATTAGTTCAGTGGCTCACAAAGGTCTTAGAGGCCACTACTGTGCTGGGGAAATCCATTGAGCTTGGCTTGTTCTCTCTTGCTCTTGCCAATGTGCACTCTGCTTCCATGCAAACACTCCTTAGGAAGATGCCAGTAATCTCTATTTTATGTACTAATTACACAACCACATCTCCCTTTGGCGACTTGAGGGAAACAAACATGTAAAGTGTAGAGTATTTAACTGGGATGTACTTTAGAAAAACTCCAAAGCAGAAAAAAAAAACCTTCAGCAGCCTTGCAAATAAAGCAGAAAACTTCCACAAGTCAGCAGCATTTCTCAAAATGAAGAGTCCACCCTTACGGCAAGCCATACAAGAAACTAAAACTGCAAAAATCATTACTTTCCCTACTTACATTGCCAAGCACCTGCAAGACTAAAAAAAGAATGCTATCCAGTTCTGTTCTGAGAAAGCACAGGCCTTTCCAGCAGATGCATTAAGTGAGATAAAAACCTTATGGTTGGAGGAAGAAAAGAAGTTGGGGCCATTACAAATGTAACTTCCAAATAATCAATGTCCCAAAGTTTTAAACTTCCCTTTAGAGTTAAGAAGTACTTCAACCCTGTGACCTGGCTTATCAATAATTTTCTTCAAGTAAAACAAATTTCCAAGCATTACCTAGGCATAAATACTACTGTGTATAAAATGCTAGCAAGTACATTAATATGGATATTCAGTGACTCCGCTTTTTGACTCAGCTTTATTGACTGGGAGTTGCTGTCTTAACTTCTTGTCACCAGCCTCTGCCTTCTCCTAAGACTGCCATGTGTGCAGAGACATGGGTCACCCCAACCATATCCTACCCCAATCCCACCTGCCCATTATGACTATTTCCTTTTTAAATTCTCCCTTTATTTCCTTTTATTCTTCTCTCAGAAGCTTTGCTCTTTTGCCATCTCTCAACCAACTCTCCTAAATTTTCATTGTTTAAATATCTCAACAAACTCCGAGTCATCATTCACAGCCCTTTGGTTTAGTTTAGTTGTGTAACCCCAAATACTTTATTAGGTCTAACAGTGGGTCAATCACTTGTTGATACTTGGGACATTTTCACTGCAATGGCATTTGTCATGATGTTTGTTTAATTTGTGGTCCCTATCTAAGAAAACATGACCATTTATGCCCTGCTTTATTGCAGAAAAAAACCTAAGGCTGCTTACACTAAATAACATACACACTAAGATACACACAAAATAACACAAATTATGGAGGAAGAAAAATGGGACAAAGCAGACATTAAAGTAGGGAAGTTAAGATGAAACTAGGAGAGAGGTCAGAATTTAAAGCTTGTGTTATCAGGCCCACACACAAATATTTACATCAGTGGTTGAAAAATTATGGCCCACTGGCCAAATTTGGCCCACCATCTGTTTCTGTAAATAAAGTTTTATTAGAACACAGCCACACCTGCTCATTTACATATTCTTTATGGCTGCTTTCAGGCTACAATGGCAGAGTTGAGTAACTGTGACAGACCATATGGCCTGCAAAGCCTGAAAAATTTCCCACATGGAAAAAGTTTGCCAGTGTCTGGGTTATATGATTCTGTGCCTAAGAGACTGGAGGGAAGCAATCTCCTAGGGTAAGTACTTTCTTTGAATGGTTCTGAAGTAGAAGAGAACCTTCTGCTATAAACAGCTCACTATGTAATCTAATGAAAACACATCTTCAACATAATATTTTGTAGTAAATATAACAACTGGCTTCAGAGGTCAATGGCATGATGTCACAGTGCAAGTCAGTAAAACAATTCTATGAATATGTGAGGTGGAAACAATGCCGTTCAGGTACAATTCACTCCTGGTCTGGCTTCATTCATGGATAGTCTCTCCAGATGGCAAATGCCAGTTACACAGGTAGCCCTTCCCTACCCTCCTTCCTTGACACTGGCAGACATGGCTAATGGATCAAGGTGTTCTCTTCTGCTGAGCCCCAAAGTCTCCTCAGAAGTCTTCTCCCCATTCTCTGGCAGCTTCAGCCAGTCATTAGTAATTGGCATGCAAGATAAAACCAATACACCATCTTTGCGGTAAGGTAATTTTCCATGAACACTCTCTTGCCTGGGGGTGGTGAGGCTGAGGTTATATTCTCTGCAGAGCTCCTGAAGCACAGCTATTCCATTTTGTCCTAGTGCAGAGCTGTCCCCTTTTATGACCATCCACGTGAGAGGACTGGACTGCCCTCCCCCTGTGAGAATGGAAGCCTGACAAGGACGGCTGCCCAGAGCAAGGGTCCCGGCGCACTTGCACACATGTGGGCCAAGGGATTGCCTGAGGGCAGGACCAGGAGGCTTCTCCAGAAAAGTGCTTAGACCTGTTCCTCTGCACAGACTGTCAGGGGTCAGGGCCATAGACAACGGCACAGGCATTTTGCCTGGGGAGGTTCAAGCCCAATACTCGCATTATTTATTCAAAGAAACAAGTTCCCCAAACACCATCACCCAGGCCCACTCATCTTGTCATGCATATCTTCCTAAAGAACTTCCCAAGAGACAAGGGTTCTAAGACAAATGCAAGTAAACTGGAAAAGGTGATTTCTAAGAAACTACAATTCAGTTAAACATTGATGACAAAACGGCCAACTACGGATCTAGAAGAATATACCGGTAGCCTTTTTCTGTGTCTGCTCCTTCCTGTGACAATAAAACTATGTCCTGAATGGATTATATTTCTAGTGGAACAAAAATTTTAGCTATCTAAAAGAAGTCTTTAATATGCAAATTTAAGAGAATTAGAACTATTCTTATGTTGTCACACTGGAAATTGCTACTTAATCTATACCTGACTCCTGTGCGTGTGGTCAAAGAAAGAGAAAAAGACAAAATACATGGTAAATCTTACAGTATTCCCAACAGATCTTTCCACAAAGTGACTAAAAAGTATAAAGCCAGTAAATAAGTAAAATAACCACGCCTAAAACTCTTCTTCTCCTTATGGGTGTGTGGTTGTGTTCTAGCAAACACCACCTACAAATAAGTGAAACCTAACTATATTCAGCAGAGTTAATACAGCCAACAGACAAGATAGATCAATGAAAGAAATGTCTCACCCTCCTAAAAAGACCAAATACTAGCTAATGCTGTCATTTACTTTTCCAGTACCAATGCTTAGGTCTCAGTTCCAGACCACTTAAGGACACAACTGTGGACATGAGAATGTGGAAAGTTTGGATTCTGTGTGGATACCCAATTATGCACCAGATAGAAGCACACAGGATGTCAATGCAGACAATTCTGAAGAAAACCGAAAGCCTCTCCATATCAGGAAAGAACCGATCGCCACTCCTCCAAGCAGTTACGCAACCTCCCGTGTCCTTTGATGTGCACTGAGCCCGAGCTGGAGATCAGGATTGAGTGAAATGTTTCACGGCATCACCTGAAAAGCCTCTTTCACAACACTTGAGGCCTTTAATGTTTGTGTTTCCACAAAACTGCCAGCCCACACGAGCAGCATGCACAGTATCTTTCCCAGAACCTCCCAGGCAACAATACTTTTGCTAAATTCTTTCAAGACTAGTCGTGAAGGCTCCTACTTACGTAAAGCATACAAGGTGAGAATGATTCCAGCCAGGCAAAATCCTTCAAAGAACCTGAGTGTGCTGAACATTGTCACATTCACTGACAGTGCCACAGTCAGTCCAAAGATCAGAATGAAGATGATGGAAAACAGCAGCACAGGCCGCCGGCCGACCCTGCATATGGAGAGGGAAAAAGTTAGGAATCATTGTGAAACAAGACAATGACGCTAGATGCTGAAACCCGGTGTCCAGCAGGCACTCAATATATGTTGAATGAGTACTGGGTAAAAAGTCCTGTGCCATCTATACCCACTTCACTAGATCCTAGGCTACTATGGGTAAAAAGGGAGATTTAGCCCAACCCCCTAATTCTCGAGATAAGGGAGCAGAGATCAACCAATTACAGAGTAAGAGAATTCAGACTTGAGCCCAATTCCTGTTGCTGAGTCTATTTCTGAGTGTATAGTGATATAATTCAAGGCAAGGGGAACAAAATTAATAATTCTCCAAACAGGAACCTTGATACACCCAGCATAAAAAGTCTTGAGAAATCGTTGACCTTTGGGATTGGATCAAAAGTCAACATGGTCACCAAGCAAAGCGGCTTTGTTTCCTCTCCCCAGGTTGTTAACTAAGTCAGATACCTGATCCTACACACAGCCTATCCGAGCCAGGGCCAAGCCATCTGTCAATTTGTTTCAGCTACACGACGAGAAGTAATTTTTAAGGGATCACACACTAAGGTAAGACAGCGTGAACTTTAAATGCCCAGTGACCTGATAGTGAGCTGACAGTGCAGCCCCTCGGCTGGACTGAGAGGCAGGGAGCCCAGGCTGTGATGATTCTCTGGAAACGGCCACAGATACCCTCAATTCGTGGGTTCTGGAGCTGGCCAGTTTCAGATCAGTGACCACTAGGGGGCGATGTGCTTCTAGAGTGCCTGGGAGGACAGTAGAGGGTGGTCCACAAGAATGGGGAAGTCACCAGTTCCTGTGGCCCCATGCTAACTTTCCATCTTTCCTTGATTAACCGATTAGAAATAAAATGGCAACAATAACTCTCCATCAAACACGATTGGCTTGGTCTAAAGGATAACTCAGAGAAATGGGGGCAGAGTGGATGCTATTTGCCAGGAGAAAAAAGGGGGAAAAATCCAGACCTCCTGTCCCCAGTACCACAAAGGGTAGCTGAGGGGCTCGAACTGTCCTAGACGTGTTAATTACAAGACATCTACATGCAAGTAAAATGCCCAGAAAAGACAAATATACAGAAACAGAAAGTAGATTTGTGGTTGTCCAGGACTGGGGGGTGATGTTTCCATCATCCTTTGAGGGGATGGGAATGTTTTAAATTCAGAGTGTGGTGATGGCTGTACAACTCTGCAAATATACTAAAACTCATTCCATTGTGCACTTAAAATGGGTGGGTTTTATGGGATGCAAATTATATGTCAATAAAACTTCAAAAAAAAAAATTAAGGCATGGCCTTACCCTATAGAGATAGATGGAATTTTAAGAAAATACAGGGAAAGGAACAACAGGATGAAATTACACTCAGAACTTTTAGTTCTAACCATTCCCATCAGTCACTTTGGTTTAGTGAAACAAGGCCAAGGCTAGGAGCTCAATGTAAGTCAATAATCTCACCTGGAGATTTTAGCCATTACTTTCCCTTGTCCAGTGCTGGGATCAGGAAGCCCTTACCAGCAAAGACTGTGTAGCTGATTTTGTCCAAATCTAACTCATTGACAAAAATAAATTTAAAATACAGCTTTAGTCATTCTCCTAAAATGAAGAAAAATGAACTAACTCTAACATTTTGCATTACCCTTGACTTTCCTGGTCTGTGAAATGGGGATAAGCATCCCACATTGTGGAGTGTTGAGATCCTTCACTAGGGGGGATGATGGGCACAGATGCAACGCCTGGCGCAGAGGAAATAATGCAATGTTGTAGTGCTCATTCCTTCCTGCGTTTCCACGTCCCTGATGCCTACCAAACATGGTTTGCTCTGTTCTGATATTTTAGAAAAGATGTTCGATTTTTTTAAGCGTGCTGCCTCCCGAAAAATGGTGGCTAAAATCAACAAGTAAAACTTATCAAGGTCTACAGGGCAAACACTGTCTTTGAAGTCAGAGTGTGTTGGTTCTGAATCCAGGATCACCACTTCTGAACTATGTGACCTTGAGTAAGACCAGGCTTGTTCAAACGAGCCTGGAGTTCCCTTTGGTAAGGGCCAATTAATGTCTGCTTCATAATGTTATCGACAGGAGTGGATATGAACAAATGCTTCAGCAAGCGTTCAATACATGTTAGTTACAAGCATGGATGGTTCTCCTAGAAACTGGCTCCCAGGGCAGAACCCTCTCAGAGAGGACTGATAAAGCCACAGTCCTTGTCCGTAATGCAGAGGACTTTATCACTTAGGATCTGTGGTGGGCAGAACAATGGTCCTCAAATCTGTCCATGTCCTAATCCTCAGAACCTGTGAGTATTTTACCTTTCATGGCAAAAGGAATTCTGAAGATGAGATTAAGCTTAAGGACCCTGAGATGAGGTGACTTTCCAGGTAGGTCCAATCTAATGACAAGGAAAACCTCCCCTGGCTCCAGGGAACCAGAGAGGTAGTGGTGTGAGAAGGACTTGACTTGACATTGCTGGCTCTGAAGACGGAGGATGGGGCCATGAGCCATGGAATGCAGGTGGCCTTTAGAAGCTAGAAAAAGCAGGGGAGCAGATTATCTCCTGGGTCTTGCAAAAAGGCATGCAGCCCTGCTGACACCCCGACTTTAGACCAGTGAGACCTTTGTTGGACTTGTGAACTGCAGAGCTGGAAGATCATTCATGTGGGCTTTGGAAGCCACCAAGCAGGTAGCAATTTGTAACAGCAGCCATAGAGAACCGACACAGGGTCTCAACAGGAAACAGAGGTCCCACTCAAATGAAGTGACTGGAGGAGATGGTAATAAAGGGATTATTTACAGAAGAGTAAACAAGCTGAGAGGGAACCCACAACAGACGGTGTTTGACCTTGCGGCTCTCGACAGCAGGGAGTAGGGGAAGGATGGTCCTGGCCCCAGAGAGAAAGAGGTGCTGTGTGGAGGTCATGGACAGGAGGTGGCTGGCCCCTCCAACCTGGCAGAGAGCAAGCTGGGCATACAAGTGCCTGACCTCACTCTCTTCTCCCCTGAGGATCTACAGCTGGTGCTCCCCACTGGCCACACTCGGCCAGGAGCTGGCGGGCAAGGGGTCCTCTGTGGAAGCCCATACTGGCCAGCTTCCCAGGGCAGGCTGGGGAAGGGGGCAGAGGGCTGCTGCAGTAACAAACACAGCGAAGAAGTGAGCGCATCCCTGGGGCCACTGGCCATCGGCCCTCCCACCCACCTGAGCTAGCAGATTCTATACCAATACCCAGTGAACATCCCCAGACAAAACTTGGTGTCAAAAATGTAACTTTTTGAAGAAAGAAGTGTACTACTTAAATGTTACTAAATGCTGACTGCAGCCTTAGGAAGCATATTGTATGACTTGATCCACTTCCCCTGCAGCCATGAAACAGGGCCCATAGCCGAGAGGTCTGGAGTTCCCTTTAAATGGGTTTATTTCCTTTTAAGCAAGGCTCAAGCAGGGAGTCAAATGCCAGAAAATGGAGTTGGAAAATACCAAGCTTTCAAACTGAAAGGGAAGGCCACTCAAAATGTTCAAAAACTACCACTCAGGCAGCCTGCCCCTGATTCCCGGGGCACCCCCTCAATCTTGCCCATCTGAGGAGGAACCTCAGAAAAGCAACTGCAGAGAAATGGTTTGCGATGTCAGACTTCTGGTTACTCTAAGAGCAAGACCCAAACTCTTTTGTCCTCAGGCCTGGTGTGTGATCAGGGAGGCCACATCACATGTGTGTACAAGAAGAAAGTTAAGAAAACAATCTTTAAACAATTTAAACTGTTACAGACTGGTTCATTCATAAAAGTCGATTTTTACTTTTCTATTAAATTATTTATTGAATAAGGACACTACAACCCCAGTTGAGTTTGCATTTTTTTAGAAAGACAGTGACATGGATTATATTAGTATATTTTTCTAACCTATTTCAATGTAGATTTCTGGGAAACGGTATATTTTAGACCAATATAGCCCACACTAGAAACCTATGAACTCAAGTATTTGGTTTAAAAAAATAAACCCTGTGTTGCCTCTACCAAAGAAAGCCCCCAAGAGGTCCCCTGCGTAGGTCTCCAGAGGTCACTGACTGCTTCTCTGTTGCTGTCCACAGAGAACGTGTCCATGAGAAGCACTTGCAAATCATGATGAGGCAGATGTCAAGCACACAGGAAATCACATTACATGTCAGCTCAAGGAACTCCCAAATACACGCTGGGTTTTGGAAGAAATTTTCCACATGTGTAATGTGACCCTCTGCTGCTGTCCGCCCAGGCACTTGCCTTGGCCAGCATTCTCAGTTAACTGAGGTGCAGAGGTCACAGAACCTATAGAATTTGTTCCATATCACTCTGGGCCCTTATTTCCTCAAGGCCAAGATGTCTCGATTCACCAAAAAAAAAAAAAAAAAAAAAAATCCTTTAAAGATAAAAGAATGTAAGCTGGGGAGACAGTTACACTACGCCTCTCTCCTGAGCAATCTCGCTACTTGAAAAACCTGTCAACATTGTGCAACTGCCTCCCTGCTTAGACACCTCACCGCTGCTGCCCCTGTGACCACAGAATGCCTTAAATAAAAGCGCTGCAGCATCCTGGTGGAGGGGCAGGCTCTGAGGCCACGTGGTGGCTGAGTTTCAAGTTCTGGCTCTCCAGCTTAAAGCTGAGTGAACTTGGAGATTTTACTTACACTTCTCTGCTTTTTCAACTGTAAAACACAGGTAATAATAGCATCTCCTATTCGGGGTGTTGTAAGGAGATGTTAATGTATGGAACTACTTAGCACAGTGCCTGCTACACGGTAATCTTTCAGCTGCTAATGTTATCATTATTGCATATGCATTCTCACCTCTGGCCACCACCCTCCCCTGCCCACAGCGCCCATCTGTATTACCGAAATGCTCTTTATCACTCAAGGTGCAGCTCCCTACAGACCCCACAGAGGCATCTCCTGGCCAAGGACTGCCCCTCTCCAAAATCCACGTGACATGTAGAGGAGCTAATCAGCATTGCCTGACTCATTCAGCTCGCATGGGGGAAGGGTCTTTAGCTTCCCCATCCCCTATTTTTTAATGCATCTTCTGCAGCTGCCCCTTAGTGCATCCACCTCCTGCAGCCCTGCACATAAGTCTTCAAGCTCTTTCTAATGAAACGTCAAAGGTTAGAAGTAGATGGGGCTGCAGGCTGGTTTTGCTATATTCTAGAAGCTAGAGAATTGCGTTGAATTTAAATTCACACTTCCAAATGATCTGCTACATGCATGGGCCATTTCTCCGAGCTCTGCATTCTCCACGTGGCAGCTTTGGCCTTCTGCTCTGGCACTGGGAAAAGACAGTCATGGTAAGCTAACACTGACTATTTTTCTTTAGCCAGCAAAGGCGTGCTGTGGCCTCCAAAGGTTCGTGCGGCGGGCATGTTGGTACTCACCAGTCAGCAATGCATCCAGTTATTAGGTAGCCAAAGATTAATCCAACCAGTAAGGAGAACTTAGCGATATGGACCTTCCAGGCATTATCACACACAAGATCCCACTAGAGAGGGGCAAATAGAAAATAAATCAGAGAGAAACATACACAGAGCTAGTCGTACTCAATTATAAGGGCAATACAATAACCCTGCAGGGACCACCGCACCGTTGCCAGTACCATGCCATATACACCAGTCAGAGTCTCTTCCATGGTTTTGAAAATCCAATGAGACATATAATTTGCCCACAAAAGGAAATGTAACATTTTAGTCTGGGACAGATTATAAGTCTGCAAAGAATGACGCAGGAAGTCTGGGGATGTGTATTCTTCTGTCCCAACCACCACGGGAAATGTAAACTGAGGCAGAGGTGGGCAGCCACGGAGACCAGGCATCCCTGAGGACCAGTGGTCCCTCACCATGAAGAGCTGCTCTGAGTGCCCAGGGGCTGGGAGACCCTGTCAACTTTCTGCATGGGCATCGTGATGACATGAGGAGGTTAAAAGTAACTTTTGCATTTTCATCCCAAAACATTCCCCAAACTTTATGAGGAGTCTTAAAAATAAAAGCGAGCATTAGTAGTAAATGTTGAAATATGAACTTTAACTAAACATTCTATTTTGCCCTTGGAAGTGTCCCTTGCGTTTTCCCATGTTTCCCTCTAAAGCCATCTGCTCTCCTTGGAGAGAAAGCCGGTCAATTAGTAAATACAACATTCAGACTATTATATTGTTTAATAAGAAAAATACAAACAAATACAAATCTTCTCATTTTTCTTTTCTCCACTTGCAGGATCAGGACGTAAACCCCTGTTTGTTCCCTCTAAGGGATGTGTGTCCAAGTGTGGACTCAAATCCACATGCAGCTTTCATCTGGGCCAGAGGGGCACATAAGCAGGGTCCCTGCTGGCCAGGCCATGGAGACACAGAGCCGGGGGTCTAGATGCCCCTGCTTCTGCTGCAAAGAAGTGGGCAAAGCTTCTGGTCTGGACGCGCAACTCCAGGTCAGTGGAGACGGGGGTGGGGTGGTGCAGGGAAGAAGCTGAAGAAATTCACGCCAATGCATTTGGGAACACCGGAGCGGGAGGTGTTCTGGGAGCAGAGGCAGGATTGGAGGGGATGGGGAACATGGAAGGTGGTGGGCTGACCCCTGATCCTAGTTCTGTCTTCTTAGATGTCTCCCCCCGCCCCTTGTCTCTATGCTACCCAGACTGCAGCACAGAGGATCCTTAGAGGGCACTGTAAGCTCAGGTCCTGCCTCATGTTTCCAAACTTCCAGAGCCTTATCGAGGCCCCTGAGGCCACAGCTGTGGTTCTCAGCTTCACTAAAATTCAGGAAAAGCCAAGCTCTGTGTCAGTGGATGCAGGGAAAGGTGCCTGGCTGGGATAAGTAGAAAGCCACTGCCTGTCACAATGTCCCCACTTCTGCCCTGGACTCCTTGGGACACACACTGGCTCGCCGATGCCCCCAACACAGGTATGCTTTCCAGAGGTCTGAGGAGGGTGACTTCTTTTTCTACCCCATCTGCTTCCAGAGTGATTTGCAACGCCAGGCCCAGGAAGAAACGGAATATGGGAATGTAAGCACAGACTGCACAAGGGCCTCATCAATAAAAGACGGCTTGGAATTTGCTGTTGTCAGGGTTTATTCATGAATTTGGGGAGAAGGGCACTGCTGGTTGCACAGATTCTTAAGAATTCAGACACAGGAGCTCCTTACAGGGTTAACTTCCTTCCATGATTGCTCCAGTGGTCCTCAAACTGCTCCAGGGACCAGCAGCATCAGCACCACCTGGGGACTAGTTAGAAAAGGCAAGTTCTTGGGCCCCATCCCAGGCCCACTGAATGAAGACTCCTGCAGGTAAGCACAGCAGTGTGGTTCGGCAAACCTGCCCTGCGACTCTGAGAACTACTGGCCAACACTGCCCTGCCATTTTGAAGACAATGAATGAGCTTCACTGTCTTGGGCTGGGGTTCAAACAACTCCCAAGAGCAGGGAGAAGCAAAAACGCTGTGGGAACCATGCAAAAGACTACTGGCTGCTGCTGCTCTGCTCTGCAAATGCAGGGTCGTACAGCTAGGTGATGAGTTCAGTGAGCTTTTGGAGGCAAGCCTGGAAAACGAACATTCACATATGTATGCTGTTTCTAGGAAAAAATGTATTTTTGATAATAAAAACCTTTCACCACACAACCTATTTCTAACTTCAGGAATACAGGTTTTGCCTTAAAACGTGAGTGACAGCTTCATAAATCACAGTGGGTGCACATTCTGTTTTTCCAGCTTGGTTTATACACTCTGGGAGAGGAGGTGCTCTCAACACCTGTAACCACTCATCTCCCAGTTGCATCATGCCTTTGGGAGCCTCAGTCGGGCACAATCTTGGCAGGAGAGGAACACATCCCGACCCCAGGTTGCTGCCGGGGAGAAGGGCACCAGCTGCTGTCTTGATGGCAGGGAGTCATCTGAAATGCTTTCATGTCTCCCCCAAGACTTCCCATTGATGAGTTTACTTGAGGTTAAAGGATGCAAATGAGTATATTATGCTTCTATGAGATGGCCAGGAGGCAGAAGAAATTTTAATAAAGCATTTAGGGGACTGGAGGAAATTGCCAATACTGTTGTGAGTTCAGCCACCTGAGCAATGACCAGACCTGGCCTTGGGCAGCCATGACCCCATTAAGGTGCTAGCTAATAAGACATTCAGTGATCAGCCCTATCCATTAACAGTGCCACAGTGGAAAATGAACACAGTGGAGGGAGACTGAGTCACTCACACGCCTGGTAGGGAGAGGAAGCCTGGTTAGAAGTATTGCTGGCTCCACAGTTCCCAGCCTCTGGGCTTCCCCCTGGGGAGGGGGTGCAGGAAACCCAGAGCAAGGCAGCCACCTGCTACCTTAAACCCTCCTCAACTAGGCACAAGAATAGACAGCATATCTGAAGCAACAAGTAAACCAACTGGATTCCCAGGCCCAGCAAGTTTACCATGATAAGGGTTACTCATGCCTGGGGATCCGCCTGCAACACCGCCCTTGCCATCCTGGAGGCACCGCCGTTTAGCAGGGTAGGGTAGCGCTGGGGGAACCCATGGCACCGACACCCTTGTTTGACTTCTGCTTCTGGTATTGACAAAAATGTGTCGGGAAAAGAAAATATGTTCAGACACAGTATAATCTCCTAAAGAATTTCAGAAGTATGAGGAAGCTTTGAGGTCACCTGGCTCTTGAAATTTGTTCACATTGCTCTAGATAAGATATGGCAACTGGTCATGTCACTGACCAGTTGGGTAAGCAATGTTTAAAGCAATTTATAACTTTTCAGATTAAAGAAATATATAACAGGAGTAACGTTATAAAAAGTACAAAACCAGAACTGAATGTAACGGGTTTTGTCTCTGACGTTACCCTAGTCACCTCCCTCCCCATCAAATCAATCACCAATTCCAGCAGGTTCTGCCTTTCACATATATCCTGAACATCCCATCCGTGCTCCATTGCCCCCACAGACACCCCGATTTATAGGGATGGGGCAGGCGCTCACTCATGTGATTCCAGTCTCCTTCTGGTGTGGGCTTCCTATAGTGTGGGCTGGGAGGCCAAAAATCATACTTCCAGATTCTGGTATACCTATGGTTTCAAATGTGATTTTGGTCCTGCCAATCAGGTGCACACCCCAAAATAACTTTCTGTGTGCAACCTTGTTCGAATTTCCGGCTGACCTGAGTTAGGAAGAGAGTTCAGAGGGGAGGAAGGGAGGCATCCATTTTGCTGGTCAGCTCTGGCAAGGGTTGGGTGGTCTGGGAGCCAACAGTTCTGGAGGTGGCTAAGGAGGTGTGATCTTGGAACCAGTGGTTGGGACAGTGACCTTCTAATTCTTCAGCCTCCTAATGGAGGCACAGTTCCCTGGACAGGCTAGCTCTGCCAGGAATCCTTCCAGAGGCCCGTTTACAGTTGCTCTAGCAACTCAGTAAGCACTATTCCCTGTATTCAGTCCCTATCTCCTGAAATACCAGAGTGGCTTCTGTCATTTGCAAATTGAACCTTGTTCTCTGGTCAAATTTCCTTGGGATGGAATTTGCAGGGGGTAAGCAGACAAGATAAGGCCAAGTCACCATCCATCCTCCCTCTCCTGAACTAATACAAGAGTCTCTCTGCATTAACTCTAACCTCCCTCAAATCCATTCCCTACAGAACAATGAAAAGCATCCTTTAATTAAGCTTGTTAACACCTCATCAGCAGGTTTAACAAGATCATAAAAGCACTAAAGTCACAGCCTCATTTCATAATCTTAGGCTTGCTTGCTTTGTCATTTTTCCAAGACCAGGGACATTCATGATGATGCCATGTGACGCTTCTGAGCCATGACTAAGTGGTGAGACAAATGACTCCAGAGTGTGTCTACATTTCACACACGTTAGTTGCTATGTGTTCTAGCAAAATGAGAAAAAAAAAAAAAAAACCAAAAACTGTGGAGTCAGAGAACCTATATAGTTTAAGGATAAGCTAAAGAAAATACCATTAATATTATTTTGAAAGGAATAATTCAATTGCTTGACTTGCCAGAGTGGAGAAACATTCATCAAGGAGACTCAGAAAATTTCTAAAGAAGATGGAAAATAAATGGGAGATAAAGAAAACAACCTTATTTTCCACAGTAATGAATTCTATGATAAAATGTAAAATAAGAACATAAAAAAATTGGAAGCAAATAGATTGCTTCTTTAATTTTGAAGTGAAGATAAAATCTCCAAAGAGAAAAACTAAGGGGGAAAAACTACCTAAGGAAACAACTGGTAGATTTTGTAACAGTCTAATGATTACTACTTTACTATTAATTACTATTTTAAAAATCTACACATCAAAAATACAATAAGCAAAATTATAAAGACCTAAATTTGTAATATATATCCACTTACATATCAATATACACCAATACTGCAACCAGAAATTGAGTTAAGCGCCCACATGATTAACCATATATGAAACACAAATAGTTAAACACTTGGGAAATGTTTGATTTCACTAATGAAGACGGCCAGGTGCAGTGGCCCACGCATATAATCCCAGCACTTTTGGAGGCCAAGGTGGGAGGGTCACTTGAGGTCAGGAGTTCTAGACCAGCCCGGCCAATATGGTGAAATCCTGTACTAAAAATACAAAAATTAGCTGGGTGTGGTGGTGCATGCCTGTAATCCCAGCTACTCAGGAGCCTACGGCATGAGAATTGCTTGAACCTGGAAGACAGAAGCTGCAGTGAGCAAGACTGCGCCACTGCACTCCAGCCTGGGTGACAGAATGAGACATTGTTTCAAAAAAAAAGAAAAAAGAAAAGGAAAAAAAAAGACAATATTTTGTTTTTCAAAAAGAAAATTTTAAAAAAATTTCTAAAGATGAAGGAGAAACAAAGAGGTACAAATCTGTACAAGGAGCATAAACTAGGCACTGTTTTTCTGGAAGACAATTTGGCAATATGCAGCACATTACTTTAAATGGGGTCTACTCTTTATCCCAGCAATTCCCTTTCTTGGAACTTTATCTCAAGTAAATTATCAGAGACACCCACAGAGGTCTCTATGCAATGATTTTCACTGTTTGTAACTTATCAGAGCAAAAGTTGAGAACCTGACTCAATGTCAATGATACCATAGTGCCATTAAAAATTTCGCTTTTGAAAATGAATGATCGAGGAAAATGCTCATGATATAATTGTATGAAAGCTTCAGAATGGAAAAACGGTGACTAGAAGAGATGTTTGTATATGCAGGAAAAGTTAAAAGAAAATATTCCAAAATATTTTAAAGTGACTATCTCTAAAGAGTAGAAATAAGACTGAGTTTTATTTTCAACTTTATACTTTTCTTGACTTTTCCAAACTTTCTACGATGAATCTATAAGCCCTCAAATGACAGAAAAAAAATGTAGGGAAAAATAATGTAAACTCCCACAGTGGTAGCGATGGTGGGGAGGCAAAGACAAAATCATTAAAAAACAAACCAACAAAGGAAAAACCTTTTCGCCTTCTCGGAAACACGTATTTTAAGACAATCCTATAAATCAGGCCTACAGGAAGCTTATTCTGAAAGTGACTGGGAACAAACCACGTCTTCACAGCCTGAAGGTTAAGCACGTTAATGCTCACTGACTAAAGCGAAAAGTGTTTTTTAGGGAAGTGAATGAAAATTTTCCCCCAAGTTTCATCTTTTGTAGTGGAGATCCCCATTTGAAATTGTTCTATCAGCAAACCACGAGGGTTTTACCAATCGCTGTGCACACTGTCTGTTTTAAAGCTGAGCAGTGTCAGTTGAGATAAAAGAAAATATTTCTGTTCAGCCCTACAAAGAGGATAGTACTGCTTAAAACTTCAAAAGCTTAAGTAAAACAAAGTTCCTGACTGGGTCGCAGGAATTTAGAGAAATGTAGGGTCAGCATTTTTCCCCCCTAAAACAGAGCTTCAGCAGCCTCTCATGAACCAGTGTTTTATATACCATGGACGTGCGGTGCTCTGCACTTCTTAACTGCAGACAATAGAAATGGCAAGAACACACACACAGAGTCCACCCTGGAAGATGAGTCACAGACGGACAAAAGAAACACCCTCCACAAGCCAGGCTGATGAAGCACATTAGCTACGATTAGTTTCTCAACATTTAGGGAGGCTATGCTACCTAAATGTGTTTTTCAGTATTTTAAATCTAACAGTTGACAGATTTTTTTTCCCCTAAAAGATTCCATCAAAACTCAAGATATACTGCATGACTTGAAAACCTCAAATTACTCTCTACTTTTTGCCTCTAAGCTCATCCTCCAATTTTAGGAGGTTTGCTGTCAACAGTAGCCAACACAACTGCCAATTAGAGTTGGCATTGGTGCAAGCTTCCTTGAATGACATAATGAACATCCTTGGGTACTCCGGGGAAATTTTTTCTCTTTTCAATTTTGTTTCTCTGTTCTTTAATGAATATTAATTGCTGCTCAAATTGCTCCTCATCTTTCCTTTTTTCTACCTTAGTGCTAAAATAATAACCATGGTACATTGAGGGGAATAGCCGGGGCAAAAATAGATTGCAAACCCTTCCTGCTGGATGGAAGATACACCCCAACTCTAGCAGACCTGCATTCTGAGCCTCTCTAAGGAAACCCACCCCAGAGCCACACCGTTAAAGCTGCTCATATTTCTTAAACTTCACGTAGTCCCATTTTAATGAGTAATGTAATTTCCGATTCATTCGAACCCTTAAGCAACAATTTTTTTTTTTGTCTTTTTTTCTTCAAATGACAACTCTACTGTCCGCTCCTCTTCTGCGCAGTGCAGCCTTCCCGGTGGGAGAGAAATAGAAACTGCTTCATTTACTGACACTGGGGCTTTCCTGGTTCTCACTGAATTTGATCATT
Source organism: Homo sapiens (assembly GCF_000001405.40). NCBI lineage: Eukaryota > Metazoa > Chordata > Mammalia > Primates > Hominidae > Homo > Homo sapiens. Next base: position 3,423,182 of record NC_000006.12, read on the forward strand.
TTTAAAGGGCTAGAGATGTAGAACTTGAAAAACAGAAAAAATTACCACCTGAACACATCCTCAGTGATGTGTAGGATTATCTCTGAGGGAAAAATACAATGAGTCACTTTTCTTTGTTTGTTTCTTTTACTTTTTCTTGAAGGAAATAGGGAGGTACATCTTTCTCAGCAGAGGTTTGCATTATTGAACGTTCTTATTCGTTTTGTACAGGGCCCCGATGGCATTTGGGGAAGCTGAATAGATACCCACAAAGCAGCAGAGATAATTAATAAGCAATGCCCTTTTAGCTACCAAAACCTTGAAGAGTCTTTCCAAATTCTGCACTGTGTATTTTATTAACGGCCCTCATCAACTACCTCTAAGAAAGGAAATTAAGAGTAAGCCCTGTAAGTTAAAAAGGAAGGAGGGAGTGGGGAGGAATGCAGGGAGGGAGGGAGGAAGGAAGGAACCCCACAGATCCCTTAGCATCAAAAGGGAGCAGCTATTAATGCCCTGCAAGAAGTCAGCACACAGGCTTCTAGCAACTCATTTATATGAAATAACTTGAAGACTGTTAACTTGAGAAATTCAAAAGTTGTTTCAAGTGTTACTGGAGGGTATTTTCTAGTATAACACAGTGTGTCAACAGAGCCGGACTGTAGCATTAACATTTAAGATGTCCCCATCAATTCCGGAAGAGAGCCAGTGGTGGGGAACTTCTGCTGGGAGCCTCAGGGGATCTCTGAAATGAGAAGACTGTAACGACCCAGGTGATCCATCCTGGAGAGAACTTGGAGGGTGAAGGAAAGCCATCTTCCACTTGCTGAAAACAAATGCCTCAGTGGCTTCCCACAGCCGCAGGCTATGGCCTTGTTGTAACAGGACCCTGTTACATTCCCTTTATGGCTGGAGTCACCTGTCACCTTCTATTCTTCCCATGTACAAACTGGCTGCCATCAATTCCGGAAGAGAGCCAGGGGTGGCTGCCCCCACCTACCTCTCTCATCACTACCTCCTGCCCCAACCCCTGCCATGACCCAGCCTTGCCAAAGTGCTCACAGCTCCCCAGAGCCTCCATGCCCTTGGCCCATGTTGCTCTTCTGTGCCCCACTCCCACAACACCCTCATTCTCCCACTCCAACTTTTCTGGCTTGATGCCTGCTTTAAAGGACAAACCTCACCACAACCAAAATGATTTGACATTGTATGTCACCTGTCAGTCAAAGTATGGCCGATTTTCTGTACTGCACGCATTTTTTCTTTCAAGCAACACATATTACTTTCGCAAGCACACAACCAAGTGAAAAGGGAAAGGGGTACAAAATTACAAATGAAAATGCTTCTCTATTTCTATAAAGTTTAATAAACTCCATTGAGGGGTATCCTCTCCCAAGACCGGATCAGGAGATCTGTGCCTCTGAAGCATCCTGTACTCATGATAAAACACGTAGACTGTTCTTACAATATATCATAATTGCCTGTTTACAAGTCTTTCTTCCACTAGCTCAGGGGGTGGCAATCTGTAGCCCACAGGCCAAACACAGCCCTGCTGTCTGTGTTTGTAAATAAAGTTTTATTGGCACACAGCCGTGCTCCTTCATTCATATATTCATTTGCAGCGGATTCTGCACTACAGCGGCAGAGTCGAACAACTGAAACAGAGCCCACATGGCCTGCAAAGCCAAAAATATTTACTATGTGGCCCTTTTTAGAAAAATTTTGCTGACTCCTGCACTAGGCTGCAAGTTCCTTGAAGAAAGGGACCATGTCTTATTCCTTCATGCCTAAGCTAATGCTCAGAATGAGGGAGGGGCAGAGTGTTAACGTCAGGTAGGAATGACCCTCCCAGAAGTCAGAATGCTCCCGTGTCCACCCGTGTTCACTGTGCTCTGCTATTTATCTTCTTAAGCCTCTTTCTGTGATTATTTTTCAAGTATAATTTAATTTAAATAATTAATACATAATTATTATACCAAATTTATATAGGCAATATAGTTTTTAAATGTTTCCACCAAACTTTTCTCTATTGGTAATTTTCCTCCAGGGAAAGATATTTCTAGTTTTATTATAAAAGCCAGTAGAAAATTGGGTATATGAAAAATTTATTTAAAACAATGAATAATTCTTTTTTTTTTTTTTTTTTTGAGATGGAGTCTCACTGTTGCCCAGGCTGGAGTGCAGTGGTGCAATCTCAGCTCACTGCAAGCTCCGCCTCCCAGATTCACACCATTCTCCTGCCTCAGCCTCCCGAGTAGCTGAGACTACAGGCGCCCGCCACCACGCCCGGCTAATTTTTTGTATTTTTAGTAGAGACGGGGTTTCACCGTGTTAGCCAGGATGGTCTCAATCTCCTGACCTCATGATCCGCCCACCTCGGCCTCCCAAAGCGCTGGGATTACAGGCATGAGTCACCGCACCCGGCCGAATAATTATCTCTTAATAGAACAAATCTATGACATTAAATTAAGCATTGTTCTAGGTGAAGAAAGGAAACTAAGATTCATTAAGTATCTACCCTGTGCTAGGGACTCTGCCAGCTGCTTTGACTAAGCACCCTGACAGCACAACAGGCCCATTGCATGGACATTATTACCAGTATGTCCATTTCACAGATGAAGAAACTGAGGCTGAGAAGTGATGCTAGTCCAAGATCAAGTGTCTCTTACATAAATTATAAATCTGTATCTGATTGAAACTCAGGTTCTTTCCCCCAGTAAACTCAAAGAAACAGCCCTAGTTCATACAAATAAATACAATTCTCTGGTTTATATTAATTTGTTACAGGTTATAGCATTTGTCTGGACAAATATTCAATACACTTTATGTGCATATAGAAGCAAAGTAGCATACTGAAAACAGGACAGGCTTCGGTGTTATTTCATTGTTACAGTGACTAAACAAATAATAATTTGTCAGGGGTCTGTGAATAGCAGATATTTGATACATGATGGCTGTTTAAGATACTAATATCACAGTATCTTTTTTAAATAGAATTTTTAGTACTGAAATGTTGAAAAAAGTTATGATCAACTCCCTATTTTAAAAACAAAGAAACTGAATAAGAGGTGAAGTGACTCATTCAGAATTAAAAAAGCTTATAGCCAAGTCAGACTTGAGCAGAGCCCAGGTTTCCTTGGGCTCAGCTGCTCCATACCAGACTGCCGTGGAAAATGTCATTTTCAGACAGGGTGACCTGATGCACAGGGACGCATGACTCTCCCAACAAATTTCACAAGTCAATTACTGCCAAGCCAGGACAACTGCTAATCTAATGGTCAGTGTGGTGGTACTACCTTCATTCTAGTCCCAAACTCTTACAACAGGAAGGATTAGGAAAAAAAAAAAATTAACATTTTAATTGAGACCTACTCTTAGGCTTCCTGCCAAATACTCATCTTTTTCTGTAACATATGAATCAGAGTACCTGAGATGGTAAACCAGTTTTTCTCCTGTTTCAACACTGGTGTAACCATCTTGAAGATGACATGATGCCTTTTTCTTTCTTTCTCTTTTTTTTTCTTGCTTTATTTAGCTCAAACTAGAAGCCAGTACAACCGTGGATCTAAATGATGACCTTTTCCATGAAAACAGCTAACACCAACCAGCTACAAACAAGGTACACAAAGCTGGAGGCTGCCCTGGGCCTACTCCACATCCCAAAGTTACTCAACTATAGTAGTTCTCAGCTGTAGTAGGTGTGACTGCTGCTACAGGACAGCATAATCCTTCAGGTTTTTACCCATTTGGACTTTGTCTTCATTGGGTTGGACTCTGGCTTACCACTGTCTCTGAGGAAGGGCATCGCATGGTAAGCGAGAGCCTGGTAGCATGGAATTCAGAGCCTAAAGTGGGGTCTGAGCCAGCTTGCGAATGTGCTGTCAAGCACAGCTGGGATGCAGGCTAAGAGCTCGGAGTTTGAGCCTGATAAGCCCCAGTTTTATTTCTAGTTTCGCCCCGCGGTCATCAGGGCAAGCTTTTTCACCGTGTGGGGGCTCAGTTTTAACATCTATGACGTAGGAGTCGCAAAACCTTCACCAGAGGGTTGTTACAAGAGTCAAAAATAACATCGGGAATGCGCCTGGTGCAGTAACCGGCACAAAGTGATTATTACTCATTAATTTTGTCTGTCAGTTAAGCAGGTCCTCGGGGGCTTATGTCTGTTGGTAAGTAACATTTTGGATCTGAGAGTAATAAAACTACTTCAAAAAGGGTTTTGATTACTTAGAGTCTGAGCTATTCATTTTAGCCTCACCCCTAACTGACCCAAATTAAGGGGTATTTTACTAGTTTTACATCCTGTCTGCATAGTCAGCACCAGATTAGAAAGTGGGCCAGACGAGGATGGAAGACGCCCTCCAGGGAGCAGCTGTGTTCATAGCTGGGAGATGCTGAAGGAGGAGCAGGTCCAGGTCTACCCGGGGCTCTACCGTGCTTTCAGGTCCTCCCACCACCTCTCAGGATGCCGTGCCCTTCACTTTGACCTCCTCAGCAGCATCCTGGGAACAGCAACAGCTTCGTTTCCAACACTTCCTGCAATCATTCCTTAAATATACTATTTTTCTGACCAAAAGAAAAAAAAAAGTAGGATGGTTCTCAAAAGCTGACAACACGATTACACCCAAGAGTGTGTTTTTATTTTCTTCCTTTGAACTAACTATTAATCTTCTAAAAACACCGTGCCAAACTGGCAGCATGACAGCAGAGTGTGACTGTGCAGGCTGGCTCCCGGCCCCCGCCCTCTGGTCGGGAGAGGAAGAAGGTCGGCTGCACCCGAGGTGGGGTGAGCCAGGAAGGCTCCCGACCTTCCACTTCAGTGCCTCCGGCATCCTGGGGACAAGCGGACTGAGAGGCAGCTCTCTAAGAGTTTCCTCAGATAGAACCTCAAAGCATCCTTAGGCCAAAGCCAGGATCACTACCCTGAGAACTCACCGGGGCCTGGCCAGATGCGTATGGGACAGCGAAAGGAGTAGAGAACACATGTCACAACTCAAGCCTCAGTAAGTGGACAGAGAAAGGGAGCAGAGACCCTCTCATGCCAAGGAGGCTGCAAAGCTGCCCAAGTCGCGGCCCTCACCAGAGTCTCTTATCAGAGACCTTCCTGCCCCTCCTCACCCTCCAGGCTGCTCAGAGTGGTACAGTGTTTTAATATTGGTGACAGGCCTCGGATGGCCAGCTCCTGAGGGGACATCCTTCTGTTACTTGTGGAGTTGGAATTACAGGACTTGGAGGGTGTGAACTTTTGGGGGAACTCCAGGGATGAACATGAGAAGGCCCTTCTGCTGTAGTACTAACTGCAATCAGTGTCTCGGGCTTCATGGGCTTGGCTTTGCGTAACAAGCCAGGGCACCTGAACTCCATCCCAGCCCTGCCAAAATAATTCTCTCCATTCACTACTGATGCAGCAGAGCGGGCTTGACAAAGCTTGCCACAGGACAGTCAAGTTGATCCATTCAGCATTCCCCAATTCTTCCTTCTGTCTCACTCAAAGGCAAATAGACAGCAAAAGACAACGTAAAAATATATTAATAAAATTAACGATCCAATAAGGAAGCCCTTCACAACTGGACTCTCCTCCCTGTCTAGCTGCATTTGAAAGACACACCCACTTCTAAGCCAGCAGTTGAAGCTTTTTTTGAAGGCAGCATGCCTAAAAGGGTAACAATAAGTGTTCATCTAAAAAAGGGAGTAACTGGCTAATTAGCGATAACATTCAGTGAAACAAAGTCAAGCTGGTGTCTCATTTTCAGGACTTCTCAGAGCCTTTAGCATGTTAATGTGCATCATGAGTCCTGAAGAGGGGGCTCTGTAGCCCCCTCTTCAAACGTATTTGGCTTCGGAAACCCTCTCCCTCCTACACACTTTCAAGGGCATGTCTGGGCTGCAGAATAGGAGAGATGTTGCCATGTATATTTTGTTTGCCCTGCATGACCTAATATGTGAACACAGTGCAAAATTATAACACGTGGAAATTCTGGGATTTTAAAGGCTGGGGTACAACAGTCCTGTCACCCCTGACAATCTACCTGAAGGAAGAGAGGGGGGATATGCGTGCACATCAATGGATGTTCACAAGAACCAGAGGAATGTTTTTCTGCCTTTAATCCAAGAAAATAAAAATAACTATTTTCCTGTCTTCTCAAGAGTTTATAACTGCTAATTGGTAAGATATGGACAAACATTGAAAACTCTAAGGAAATGATCTGCAAAAGGTCAACCACAACAAGAAGCAGTCAACTGTGTAAAATTCCACTTCCTTGAGAACAAATCACTGCCCTGCATGTCCCCACCTCTCTGCGGAAGGACAGTTGCTCCATTAGCCCAAGTCCATTAGCCCAAGCCGATTAGGAAGTATGCAGGCGATGATTTACACTATGTTATCCTTTAAAAAATAGTCTGTAGACCCCCCAAAAGCAAAAGCAGGGACATACAAAGATATGTACACCCATGTTCATAGCAGCCCTATTCACAGTAGCCAAGGGCTGAGAGAAACTCAAGTGTTCACTGACGGATGAACAAAGAAACAAAACGTGGTGCATGCACATGATGGAGGATTATTTAGCCTGCAAAAGGGAGGAAATTCTGACACATGCTACACATGGATGAACCTTGAAGACATGCTAAGTGAAATAAGCCATCACTAAAAGACAAATATGGTATGATTCCACTGATACGAGGTGCCTGGAGTAGTTAAATTCATAGACACAGAAAGTAGAATGGGGGTTACCAGGGGCTGGGGTGAGTGGGGATGAGTTATAGTTTCATGGGGATATAGCTTCAGCTTGGGAAGATGAAAAATATCTGGAGATGGATGGTGGTGATGGTTGCACAACAATGTGAATGGCTTACACTGAACTATACACTTAAAATGGTTAATTTTATGTTATGTACATTTTCCCACACGCACACACAAAAAAAAGTTTAAAGAAAGTGTTATCTTCAGGAAATGGGCTAGCCAGTATCCCAATTAACTTAAACATGGATGGCAGAGCACTCTGAAGAGAATCCTGGATTAGGCAGCAGAAAGCACAGTTGTCTTACAGGTTATATTCGCGAGAAAATCTCCAAGGTGCAGGCCTCTCTATCTGACATCTCGTCTCCGCTGGCAGTGAGACGTCCTTTCTCCCCAAGCTTGTCCATGGGTGAAAGGATCAAAGGACATTGCCCGCCAAAAGGAAGAGTGACCAGACTGCCCCCCTCCCTCAGTCACCAACCCCCTTGACTTCTCACATGTTCAAGGCAGGCCACCCCAAGCTCTTACGTCCTGGCCTTGTGTAAATACGTTTTCTTCCTTTGTGCCACCACCCAGTCCCCAGTATTGTGGGCCAGGCCCCAGGAGGGACTGCAGACCAGTGCCACAGTCTCAGTGTTCCATGACTATTTATTGGTCACGTATTGAGTGCCACACCCCAAGGAAACAATAATGCAAAAAGTGCTGTCCTCGCTCTTTAGAGTTTGGGGCAGGCTTAAGAAAGGACTATGCTGAGGGGTAAAGAGTAGCGGCAGCAGACACACAGAAGGTGCTATGAGTGTGCCCCGGCCAGCCTTATCCATGCCAGGAAGACCAGAAGGGATGAGGCTGGAGGGGAGTGGAAAGGAGTTGTCTGTGTTAGAAAACACAGCATATGGCCAGGCATAGTGGCTCACACCTATAATCCCAGCACTTTGGGAGACTGAGGTGGGTGGATCACCTAAGGTGGGAAGTTTGAGACCAGCCTGACCAACATGGAGAAACCCCGTCTCTACTAAAAATACAAAATTAGCTGGGTGTGGTGGCACGCACCTGTAATCCCAGCTACTTGGGAGGCTGAGGCAGGAGAATCACTTCAACCTGGGAAGCGGAGGTTGTGGTGAGCCGAGATTGCATCATTGCACTCCAGCCTGGGCAACAAGAGCAAAACTCCGTCTCAAAAAAAAAAAAAAAAAAAGAAAGAAAGAAAAAGAAAACACAGCATGTGTGAGGGTTTAAAAATGTGGGGCAGGCTCAAGGGAGGCTTCCAGGAGGGATACCTGCACCTGGACTGGACACTGAGTGAGATGGGCGTGGGGGCAGGTCCTGTGAGGACACACCCTGCACCCATGTCACAGAGTGGAATGTTAATCAGGACTAGACTTAAAATGCAATGAAAATGTTAACTCAATCAAACCTTATTTGGGGCTTTCGGTTGATGCTACTGTTGTTAGAAATATCCTGATCAAGGATCACAGAAAAGGAGGACCAAATTCCTAAGCCTGGCTCTGCAGGGGACAGGGAAGGGAGAAAGGGAGGGAGGGCTGTTAAAGGTTCAGCCTTTCAAAACCATCTATGGGTGGGCATGAAGTTTGTGGGCTATTGGCCAGTCCTCAATTAACAGGTTGAAGTTATGGATGAGCTCAGAAAGAGTAGGGTCAATCCTATCAGTCCTTCGTACCTTAGTGTGAACTGCTTTCATCTCTTAGCTAAAATTAGCTGCCCAGATATTTTGGTTTTGGAAAGTAGGAATAGAGAGGAAATTTTGAAAAAGAGGTCATTTGAGAGCACCTGAGAAGCACTCCTAAATGAGGAGATGTCAAATAGCTAGGGACAATATGAGGCCAAAGGAGGAGGGGTTCTGAAAGTGAGGGCACAAGGCAAACAAACGTGTCCACAGCTCAGGTGGCCAGCTGGGGACCACAAAGACCGCCATTTGCCAGGGCTGACCTCGGTCATTTCCTATGAGCTTCCATACTTCTGTTTTAGAGGTCTAGAGTTAATGGTTGGGGGATTGCAGGTGGTTGTATAATGCATTGTAGTTGTTGGTTACATGACTGTCCTCTGAGCTCCACTGGGAGCTCTTTGCAGAAAAGGGCTCAGATTAAATGCGTATCTCAAAGCACACACTCTGCTGAAAGGGAGCGGCACATCCATCATTTTCTGTAATCCCCACAAAGCTTTATGCTATAGGTGTCATCTCTACCTTGGAAATTAGGTTCCAGGGGGCTGAGTAATCCCCAAGGTTCCTCAGTGTAGAGGCGGTAGTGCTAGGGTTCAAACCGGTTCTCCTGCATCTGAGCCCAGTGCTCCTTGCCCACGCCTCTGCTCCCTGGATCTTCACTGAGAGCCTGCGGCAGGAAAGCTCTGTTCCTCTGCTGAGTGAACGCTGGCTCCTTCCACAATCACTCAGGCTTTGAGGGTAGGCTGGCTGTGAGACTTTGAAGAAGCCTAAGTTTAAAATAAATGTTTAATGTTTTTTCCCCGAATTCTGAAATTGCTTTTGCAGAACCTAAAGGAACCAATCTTCCTTGCTGTTGTGTACAACTGCTCTTCAGCTCACTGTAAAACCAGGCAGAGGGAGGACTTCCAGGAACGCGTCTCCTTCTAGCTCTCCGCTTTGGCTCAGTAATTTCAGTAGCCATCATGACAAATGCATCATTTATGCAGAACATTTGGGGGCTTCAAATTTCTAAACTGTTATCCTAATAAAAGCACACCATCAGTTGTTTAACCTGCTTTCAGAGGAATGCAGTTCGTCTCAGGATGACACACGCACGCAAGCACAAACATGCTTCCTGATGAAGTGCAGAGTGGCTGGCAAACTTGAAGCCCTGGGAAAATCTTAGGAAAAGCACTGAACTTTTCATATGTTTAAATATGGTGGAAATGCCCACCTACAGTTCGTTGCTCTTTTTAAGGTTTTTAGCAAGGAGCAGGCAAATCAGGAGGCCTGGCCCTCCTTCTCTCACTAACTCATCCCTGTTGGGAGATACTTCCCCAGTGGCCTCCGGAACCTTGTGAAGGGAACGTACAATTCTGCAGAGCAGGTTCCATCAGAAGATAATTCCCTTCCTTGGCTTGAAACCCTACAAGCTGGGGCTTTGTGGCTCTTTGCAGCTGGCTGTGGGCTGGGTAACAGCAGAGGCCCCACCTGTTTCATTTGAGTTTCACTCAAAAGGCTTGCCCAGGTCATTCTTACAAAAAGGGAGGATAAATAGGTCTTCATCAAACGCTCACATGCAAGAGATGCCTACAGAGAGGCGGGAGGGCCTGGCTGCCAAAGCCACTCTCACATGCTGCACGGACAGGAGGAAACTCCTCAGAACAGCTGCTAAGTCACCCTTGGGACACAAACAGCAGCTGACTGGTAGTGCCACCTCTAGGTGGCTTCTCCCTGCCCAAATGGTACTAGCACCATTCCCACGGCCTCCTTATCAGCCCTAGGGAGTGAGTCCCAGAAGCTGTAGGGCCACACAGGGGCCACAACTCTCTAGGGCCAGGGATCCCTGCCCCTAACAAATGGTAACCCCCTCCCCACACTCCTCCCATCACTCCTGCTTCCTACCCCAAAAATTTTGAAAAGAAAAAGAGGAAACTTGCCTAGCTTATAAATAAGTCAAGACTTTTCAATGGCTGCCCTGATTCTGCCAATCAACTTTTAAATATTAGAACAGAGGGGTAGCCAGGAGTGGAAAGGATTGACAATGTTCAGCTTATAATGGGCACAGCAGTCTAAGCATAATCACCACAGGCTGGAAACAACCCTGCGTCCATCACCAATGGAGAGAGAAACACAGTGTTGTCTACCCATGCAGTGGAATATGGCTCAGCAACAAACAGGAACAACTATCAATGTGCACAGTACCATTCAGGAATCCAGGGATGAGACTGACACGGCGGACCACAGGCCTCCTTCATATAACCTTCCAGAATAGGCAAAACCATGCTATGGGGATAGATATTAACGCAGCGGTTGCCTAAGGGGTGGGCTGACTGGAGAATTCACTAGGGTGAAGGAAATACCTTAATTTAGGGGGTGGTTGATGGGCATATATACAAGTCAAAACCTACTAAGCTATACACTTAACATCTGTCCATTTTACTATGTGGTCATTATGCCTCCACTTTAAAAAATCTGTGAAAGCTGGGTACAGTGGCTCACCCCTGTAATCCCAGCACTTTGGGAGGCCGAGGCGATGGATCACCTGGGGTCAGGAGTTCGAGACCAGCCTGACCAACATGGTGAAACCCCATCTCTACTAAAAATACAAAATTAGCCAGGTGTGGTGGTGCATGCCTGTAATCCCAGCTACCTGGGAGGCTGAGGCAGGAGAATCACTTGAACCCGGGATGCGGAGATTGCAGTGAGCTGAGATCACGCCACTGTACTCCACCCTGGGCGACAGAGCGAAACTCTGTAAATAAATAAATAAATAAATAAAGAGCTGGGTGCGGTGGCTTATGCCTGCAATCCTAGCACTTTGGGAGGGCGGGTGGATCACAAGGTCAGGAGATCGAGACCAGCCTGGCCAACATGGTGAAATCCCATATCTACTAAAAATACAAAAATAAGCGGGGCATGGTGGTACCCGCCTGTAGTCCCAGCTACTCAGGAGGCTGAGGCAGGAGAATCGCTTGAATCTGGGAGGTGGAGGTTGCAGCAAGCAGAGATCGCGCCACTGCACTCCAGCCTGGGCAACAGAGCAAGACTCCATCTCAAAAAAAAAAAAATCTGTGAAATTATTTAAAATGGGTCCAAAGACAGGGCAGAAATATCTGATGGATTGCGAGGAGCATCAATTTTTTGTTCCTCCAACAGCACAAGGTCAGGCAGCAGAACGGAGGAGACGCGAGGGGTGTGGCCAATCCACCAACGGAATAACCGCAATGCCTGGATCAACCTCCAGGAGAGGGGGCATTTGATCGTATCCTCCCTTGTGCTTAGGAAATAGATCTCTAGGCCAAGAACTCAGAAAAGAGATGTGAAAGTTTCCCACAGATGCTATGTCAAGGCCTGAGGTTCTTAGCAGGTGTGCTTATGGGCTGCCTGTCAGTTCCAAACAGGAGTCTGACTGTCACTATATCAAAGGCAAGAAAAACAGCCCCAACCCATCCACACTGCTCCATAGAAACCTGGGCGGAGAACCCAGGCAACAAGGGTGCTGGAAGCGGCTGCTGGGAGTGAAGGACCCATGCTGGAAGTCCCCTACCCAGAGGGGCAGTGTGCAGGGGCTGGGATTCAGGCTGCTGGGGTCCAAATCTCAGCTCCAGCAGGTGGCTTAGCTTAGCTATAAGCCACAGAGAAGCCAACTTCTCAGGGGGCTGTCAGGATTCAGCCACGGCATCTGTAAAACACTCAGCCCAGCCAACCTGCAGCAATGAACTCTTCCTCCCCTCCCTTCCCTCTCCCTTCCTCATCTCTTCCTCCTGTTTCTCCCCACTTCCCCTCTCTTCCACCATCCCTGCTCCCCTTCCCCTCTCCGTCTCCCTTTTCCCCCTTTCCTTTCCCTCCTCCTCCCCTATGATGGGGACCCACACTCCCACCCCTGTTCCCAGCTACCTCTCCTGCAGTGGTGGGACCTGCCCTTCCCTCTAGTACCTGCAGCCTTCTGTCACCACCTGGATTGTGAACACGGCAGCCAACTCCTATGGAAGTTCTGGCAGCTGCCCTCACTTGCACATCTGATTTACAACAGACAGACTGGACGGAAAGCCCACTTACTGCAGAAGTGACATGAGAACACACTCAGCCCATGCTCCAGAGATGCGACTGCCTCCCTTCTCCCTGAAGGGACCCTGGGCAGGTTGAAGTGTGTCCACCCTGCCCCTAACAAGATATGCTGGAATCCAAACCCCAGAACCTCAAAATGTGACCCTGTTTGGAAATAGGGTTTTTACAGAGATGATTAAAGTTAAAGTAAGGTCTCTAGGGCGGGCCCTAATCCAAGGTGACTGGTGTCCTTACAAGGAGAGATGAGGACACAGACACACACAGAGGGAGGACCACGTGGGGACAGAGGGAGAAGACGCCATCTGCAAGCCAAGGAGAGAGAACTCAGGAGAAACTGACCCTGCCCACACCTGGATCTAGGACCTCCAACTTCCAAACCTGTAACAGAATACATTTCTGTGGTATTTGTTACACAGCCCAGCAAGCTAATACAGCGTGAGAATGAAGCCAGGGCAGAGGATGACCTAGAAGAGAACTAGAAAGAACTGGAGATTGCAGCCCGTCCTGTCTCTGGACTTCCAGAAATGTCATCTATACTTTTTTTTTTTGAGACGGAGTCTCAATCTGGAGTGCAATGGTGTGATATCGGCTCACTGCAATCTTTGCCTCCCAGGTTCGATTCTCCTGCCTCAGCCTCCCGGGTAGCTGGGATTACAGGTGCCCGCCACCACGTCCAGCTATTTTTTGTATTCTTAGTAGAGATGGTGTTTCACTATGTTGGTCAGGCTGGTCTCAAACTCCTGACCTCAGGTGACCCGCCCACCTTGGCCTCCCAAAGTGCTGGGATTACAGGCGTAAGCCACTGTGCCCGGGCCCTTCTGTATTTTTTTAAAGCAAGTTTGATGCAGGGTTTTCTGCTACTTGCAGCATCCTGACTGACCCCTCAAGCTTTCAAACTCTTCGCAGTCTTGTGCCATTCTCTCCTCCTAACTGAAATAAGTGTCTTCTCCCGCTCCTTCCCGTTACAGGGCGCACATCCCAGGGATTCCCAACTCTCTCTTCCCTATCTCCATGCACCGTGCACCGCTCTGCCAGGCTATTTTGGCCCCGCCTCTGTCTCCTGGGACCACCTGTTCTCCAAGCACACTCACAGATCCATCCTCCCTGTCTCCTGCAGCTCCCAGCACAGTGCTGTGCACAAAGTATCAGCTCAATAAACATCTGAATGTTAACACACTGCTCAGGACATGCCTGGTGCAGTATTTTCCCCACATAATTTTGAACTATAAGACTAGACCACTGTGTTTGCTATATAGATTCAAACAGATCGCAAAAGAAAGGCTGCTGTGTGTCGTTGCTTCCCCGTACTCAAGGAGAAAATGCCTTCTGAAGACTTAAAAACTTCTTTTCAGTAAGATGATCCATACATCCTCAGTCTGTAAATTGCCTGGTAACCTTCTGCTGTCAAAGGTCATTTCAGCTTCGCAAAAACTGCTGTTAAAAATGAGATTCATCATCAAAGTTGCCGTTGGCTTTCCTCACCACCCTCCCATTGGTCACTTATCTAAGACTCTGCCCCAAAAGAACTATAGTTATAAACGATGAACAACAAGAAGGCAAACGAGAAATGAATTAAACAGTGAAACCATTTGCTTATACTTAAACCACATTATCAGCAAACACATAAAACCAAAAAAAAACCCCAAAACAAAACAAAACCACACACATCAAAATTCCCTCATAGTCTTGACAATATCCACTTTTGACAAGTTGTTTCTTATGGGACTTCCCAGAAAAATATTACAAATAAGTCTTCTTTTAAAATGAAATAATAGGCCAGGCGCGGTGGCTCACGCCTGTAATCCCAGCACTTTGGGAGGCCGAGGTGGGCGGATCATGAGGTCACGAGATGGAGACCACCCTGGCTAACACAGTGAAACCCCGTCTCTACTAAAAACAAAAAAAAATTAAAAAAAAATTAGTCAGGTGTGGTGGCAGGCGCCTGTAGTCCCAGGTACTCGGGAGGCTGAGGCAGGAGAATGGCGTGAACCCAGGAGGCGGAGCTTGCAGAGAGCTGAGATCGTGCCACTGCACTCCAGCCTGGGTGACAGAGCGAGACTCCGTCTCAAAAAATAAATAAATAAATAATAATAATTTTAAAAACCCACTCTGGAACTTACTAGATTTTTTTTTTTTTTTTTTTGAGACAGAGTTTTGCTCTTGTTGCCCAGGCTGGAATGCAGTGGCACCATCTTGGCTCACTGCAACCTCTGCCTCCCAGGTTCAAATGATTCTCCTGCCTCAGCCTCCCAAGTAGCTGGGACTACAGGCATGTGCCACCACACCCAGCTAATTTTTTCGTGAAGATTTTGATGACTCCAGAAAATAGAATTCCAGAAACCGGTAAGCCCCAGACAGGCTCCTGTGGGAACCCATCACCTTCTTGCATTTCACTCCCTCTAGCCAGATGGGCTCCAATCGAACATCTTTGTTGCCTGCTTGAAAGTAGCTCTGAGAGTCAGACATGGGCCCCTGCCAGGACACCCAGCTAAGTCTCCCCTGCCACCACCATTGACAGCCGTGTGCTAGAGGCACCAAGAACATCAAGAACACTCCAAAAGGAAGACAACGCTACCAAGTCCAGGGCCAAGAGAGTGAGACAAGGCAGACAGTGCTGCGATCATGTAAGCAGGACCCATCCTGCTGGGGAAGGGGTCACTCTGGATACCCAAGGGGGCCCCGGCCAGCAGTCCAGCTAATACCTAGCACACTCACTTTCGGAGCCGGCAAAGCCACGAGGTGCCTGCCTTGGCACAGGTAGCAGATGTTTCACTGGGACTAGATGATCCATCAGGCTTGCTGCCTGGGCCCCTGGCGGGAACCAGCCTGATCTATTACTCAGCAAACGTAAACAGTGCTTACGTTCAGCTCCGGCCTCCAGCGCTTGGTGTCTGTGTCCCACGGGAGAGCTCCAGTTTCCTGCTGCTGACAACACTATAAAACCACCGTAATAGGAATTAATTATGGAAAAGGCTAGTTTGAATTAGAGACATTTTGAAAATAAGTACCTTTTACTTCCAAACAAACGTTTCCTTTTCTAGTAATTAACCGTTATTCTAAGTAGAGGTTCAAAGGACCTACTTCAAGGAGTGACTTGGTCATTAGCAACATTCATTCCTGTATAAATATACTATGGCCCTTTTCCCAAACATGCTTTCCTAGGTGGGCTAAACGTGCCTGCTGCCTGCTGAGCTTTGTTTATTCCATAACGAGCTCAGCAAACCCTTTCTTCACAGAGGGCAGGGAACCGTGGCTGCCTTGTGGGAATTCCCAGCAGGATGAAACACCCTCAGCCTGAACACCCATGTGTCCCGTACTGTGGGTTAAAGAGCAGAGGTCCCACTGTCCCACCCCACAGGCTTGGCCATCTGTTGGGTGTGGTCAGGAAATACAATGAGTGTTTTTATTAGTCTAGACCGGGGTTTCTCAAACTTGCCGTATTTGGGGCCGGATCTGACCGGGGTTTCTCAAACTTGCCGTATTTGGGGCCGGATCTGGGGCCGGATCATCCCTTGTGGTGTGGACAGTCCTGTGCCCTGTAGGATGTTTAGCAGTACCCCTGCCTCTACCCACCAGGCGCCAGTAGCACCCTCCCCCCATGCCCCCAAAGGTGTGACAACAACGACAAAAATGTCTCCAGACATTGCCGAATGTTCTCTGGGAGCAAAATCATACCCCGTGGAAAGTGTCCAGAGAACTTCTTTTAAACGATGGATGCTGGGGTCCTACAGGCATTTCTGAAAGTTCCCCAGGGTGACTCTAAGTGCACCGGAGCCACTGCGGCCCTGGACGAAGATGGGCCCGTTCCACGTGAAGAAAAGGCTCTGTGACCTACCTAAAGTTCTGAACAGCAGTGGTTTAAAGACATAATCAACTCCAGAGCCCAGTATGATCCACCCAAGTTTGATTAGTTGCCATTTCAGATAAGCTACATAACTCTTCTTAATCTTCAATAGCTCACTGAAATGTGACTTTAGGTTTGAGCCAACTTACGAATCTGTCCTCTTTTATTCTTGTCATCTTAGAATTAAGCCATCCAACCTCACTCAAATGAGAGCAAAACCCTTTCGCCACCTCCTTACTGGCACCATGCAGGAAGTGTTTACAGAGTACCTGCTAGGCCCAGGGGCTGAGGATATATATTCAGGCCAGGACAGCAGGGGTGGGAAACGGGAAGGGAGGAAGAGGGAGCCAAGAAGGTCTGAAGGAGGCAACAGGATGGAGGGGTGGACTCTGGGCTGAAAGAAGAGCATGGGGGAACACAGCATTGTTTGGGAAATAAACAAATCGGTGGGTGGAGCTCTGGGGTCCCTGTGGGGATGATGGGGATGGAGGCAGGAGAGGCAGGCAGAGACCGTGAAACCTACCACCCAGGCCCAACTTCACCTTAAAGGTCATGGAGAGCCACGGAGGATTTGAAGCAAGGGAGTGATAAAGAGCCACTCAGCTAGGGTCCAAGGACCAAAACACTGGGATTTAGGGAAAAGGCACAGATAAGATCAGGTACCACAAGAGAGGGCCAGTCCAGCAGGTTGGGGAATGCACAGGCCTAGGGCTTCAGGGAACTATCCCGGGTGCAGATACAGATCAGAGCTGCCCTGCTCAGGGTCCATGCTGGAGCTCTGCTGTCATGAGCTGTACTGTCCCCTCAAAGCTCCAGCGTTGAAGCTGTAACCCCCAGGACCTCAGAATGTGACTGTGTTTCAAGAGTGGGCTTTTAAAGAGGGTAGTAAGGTCAAATGCAGCTATTAGGGTGGGTCCTGATCCAATTCGACTGGGGTCCCTATAAGAAGAGGAGATGAGTGGCCGGGTGCGGTGGCTCATGCCTGTAATCCCAGCACTTTGGGAGGCCGAGGCAGGTGGATCATGAGGTCAGGAGTTCGAGACCAGCCTGGCCAAGATGGTGAAACCCCATCTCTACTAAAAAATACAAAAATTAGCTGGGCACGGTGGCGGGCGCCTGTAATCCCAGCTACTCGGGAGGCTGAGGCAGGAGAATAGTTTGAACCCAGGAGGTGGAGGTTGCAGTGAGCTGAGATCACACCACTGCACTCTAGCCTGGGCAACAGAGCAAGACTCCGTCTCAGAAAAAAAAAAAAAAAGAAGAGGAGATGAGGACGCAGACACACACAGAGGGAAGACTGTGTGAGGACACGAAGACAGCCATGTAACAAGCCAAGGAGAGAGGCCTCAGGAGAAACCAATCCTGCTGAACCTTGGTCTTGGACTTCCAGCCTCCAGAACTGTAAGGAAATACATCTCTGCAGTTGAAGCTGCCCGTCTGTGGTATTCTGCAGCCCTAGAAACTCACCCAGGGAGGTCAACTGAAATTCCTGAGCAGTTGTGTGGGGTCCGGCATCAGGCAAGCCTGACAGCCTCTGTAGTGGAGAGACCACATGGTGCTGGGCTGGGGCCTGTAGGAGGCAGGAGCACTGGGCACTGGGCAGAGAAGGTGCTTGGCAGGAGCTCAGACATGTCGAGAGGGAGAGGGCTGTGGCCCCCAGGTAGGACCATGGGGCCTACCACAGTTTTGTGATGGGGGCTCGTTCAGGTGGTTTTCAAGAGGCATTGAGTAACATGGGTGTGTCCTGGAGGTACAGCGCCTCAGGGGCTGGCTTGAGGGGCTGTGGACAGACCCTTTGGGTGGACACGAGCCCTTCTCTCCTGGATCTCTCCCATCAAGTCCTAAAATCTCGTTCTTCCATCATTTCCTTACTTACAAAGTTCAGGAGACTCATTGTCTACTGGGGGAAAAAAATCAAGCTATGCCGAAGGCTGACTCTATGGCTTTGTAGGGGGGCCTTGCAGGGTCAGGACCCATGCCCTCCTCTAGGCCACGTCCTCTCTGCACTCTGCACATGTCCCTTCCCCACCTTCATCAGCTCCTCACAGAAGAGGTCCTCTCTCAATCCTTTCAACTGCTCAAACCCAAGCCCTCCTTGGGGATAGCTCAGATGCCACAGCCCCCTGGGCTTCCCTGCCCACTGACGGAAGCGACTCCTCTGCGCCCCTGCACCTTGTCCTGTTCTTGGGCCAAGGCACCTCACAGTGCACTGCACCTGCCCTCCTGGGATGTGCTCGGTTCACCCCCCACCCTCAGCTCCCATTCCCTGCCCCGCTCATCCTGTGCCGCATGCCAGGGATATTCAATTTCCCAACCGTCTCCGGCTACATGAGGAGCTCCCTTCTCCAGGGCAGACACGATCTTCTACCCATCTGTGACACCAGCCCAGGGCAGATGTTCTGAGAGGAAGACAGGGACACCACGCAAGCAGCTGCAGCACTGCCTCTGAAGGGGAGGGCACGGGAGGGATGGAGGGATTGTCCGGAACTGTCTTCAAGAAGGAGGGCATCACCCAAGTTCCCAGCCGCACATGCACCATAGCCAAGGGGTAGAGGCGACCCAAGTGTCTGCCGATGGGTGAACAAACAAACAGAATGTGGTGCAGGCACACAATGGCGTATTCCTCAGTCTAAGGCAGGCAGGAAACGCTCACACACGCTACCACATGGATGAGCCTTGAAGACATCACGCTGAGCGACATGAGCCAGTCACAAAAGGACAAATGCTCTATTTATATGAGGTACCCGGAGTAAGCAAATTCAAAGAGGCAGAAGGTAGCGTGGGGTTGCCAGAGGAGGGGAATGGGGAGCTGGGGTTTCATGGGGACAGTTTCAGTTTGGGAAGATGGAATTGTTCTGGAGATGGATGATGGTGCCAGCTGCACAACAATGAGGATGCACCTAAAGCCACAGAACTGTACACTGAAAAATGGCTAAAATAGTACATTTTATAATTTATAGTTTTACCACAATTACAAATAAAGACAAGTTTTAAAAAGAGTAGGACAAAGACTATCCGCTTACTGCAGACGCTAAAGTATATCCATCTGAGAACAGTGGAGTTCCTCAACACATAGCAATCAAGGGCGCCCAATTTGTAAAGCATCTTGTAAACACATGCAAAAGGCAGCTTTTCATCTAATCTGGGAGGAAACACTCCATAGTGCAAATTACGATGCTAAGTACATAACCCGTCCATAATACAATATGACCACTGGGATGCTTGTGGCTGTTTTAAGCCAGCATTATCTCCCTTGCACCTATTTTTAAAATGATTCTAAGAAATAAAGCACGACTGTTAGCTAGTTGAATTAAATTACATAAAGGATTGACCCTCCTCCCCACTTTATTTAAAAAAAAAAAACACCTGATAAACACTTAACTAGCATTCCTACGACTTAACATCCTTAACCACACATCTCTGTGACTCAGCTCTTTGGTTCTCTGTTCAGATAAGTAAAGCAACTGTCTCAACTTTGAGAGAGCGGCATTTTCAAATGGAAGACTGCTCCCTGGCTCCTTCATGCCATTGCACACCTTGAGCTAACCAAACATCCCAAACAAAATTGCTCAGGGCTCTGTAAAGCTGTTCCCTGGGAAAAGTAGGCCCTCAAAAAGTGTGTTTTGCTTTTTACCAAAAGAAATCTAGAAAAAGACATGAAGTACAATGGAGGAGAGGCAGAGAAGTTACTGAGAAACAAGGAAGACAGACTGGGAAAGGCTTGGGGAAACCCTTGCCTAGCTCTGCAGTGGTGACAACACACTTTGTCAACAAGGGACTCTGCATTTTTATTTTCCACGGGGACCTGCGAATTATGTAGCTGGCCCTGACTAGAAGAAATGTTTGGAAAGCAGGAGACTGGCCCTGTGTGAAGGCAGGGGTGGGAGTGACAATTGGCAACACTGTGTTGGTGACTGTCCAACGGCTCCTTCCAAGATCCCTGGGTGATCTGGAGCTAATATCTAAGGCCATGTTTAATTATTCCTAGAAGAGAAGCCTCAGGAGGTATGTTCCTGCTAATTCCACACTCAGCTCAAGTAGCCAGCAGGTGAGTTACATCCTGAGTCTCTGGGAGGGAAAAGAATACTTTGTTTAAAGCATTTAGTGGTTAAATCATCAATACTCAATTACCCTCAATTAATTGCCAGAAACATCTGCCTATAACCCCTTCCACCCCAGCTTGAAGAACAGCCGGAACCATATCCTGTCACACCGTTTGAAGGAGTCCCCAGCCCTGCGTAACCTCACTCCCTGCTCCAAAACCTCCTTTCCCTCACCCCAATCCATGCTGGGAATCAGATTTGCACCCAGGAAGCTGGAGTTGGACAGAGAGATGCTGACCTCTGTGTTGGCCGTTGCTTGACCAGGGATCACATGAGCAAAAGCATCAGGCGAAGCCAGTTTGAAGTGGGAACCGAGCTCACTTCTGGAGAATGGGATGAGAAGATATAGCTTCTGAGTGTCCTAAAAGACACTCCCCACCCCACTTTGTGATCTCAGATCCCACCTTCCACCTGCTGCCCTGCATCTTTCCAAGAAATTCCTTTTATATTTTGTTAATGTAATTTAAATTTGTTTTAGTTACTTGTAGCCAAAAGAGACCGAAGAGAGGTCTGACAGGATACAATACCATGCAGATGCCATGGGTGGGCGCGTGCTGGCGGTATCCTCTCACAGCAATGGTTTATTTTAGAGGAATCCACTTCATGCACTCAACAGCCCCTGCCCTTTCCCAGACAAATAGGTCCCTGTCAATCTCTAAATCACTTGTGTGGAGGGAGATCTGCTCATCAATAGTGACACAAAGAACAAAACAACTAAACCCCAGCCTGCAGAAGATTAAGGTTTCTACAATACTGAGGTCAAAGTCCATGGCATCCCATAAAATCTCAGCTGCAAGTGGGAAGGGGCCCCAGCCCTTTCTCCAGTTTTCAACTTGCCCCTACGTTTGCTCTCTGAGCTCTGCTGCTATGAGCTCAAAGTCACCAACAACTCGTCTCTCAAATTCCACTCTCTCTGAGCCATATGTTCACGCAGCACACCCAAGCCAGGCTTTCAAACACATGCAGCTCATCTTCCACTCAATGGCATAAACTCAGATTTCTGGCCTGAGAACTCCAGGAGGCAGTGAAGCGCCAGGCAGAGCCCCACTCTCCCGGCCTTGGCTAACCAGGCCTTGGCTACCCAGGAAGGTCCCCTGGCTTTCTGATCCCGGCCTCTCTCTGAGCCCTGTGGCCCGGTGACCTGTTTTGTTTTCAGGTTGGAACTTAGACACATAAACCCTGTAGAGGGTGCTTTTTGGTGGGGCTCCTCCCATCACCCTGGATGCAGGCTTCCTGTCTGAAGGGCATACCTGGCTCCGAACATCATCGGTTTCTGGGTGAAGGCGGCAGACACCTGGCAGCGCCCAAGGAATAAATCGCCCTTCCAGGTGTGGCCTTCAGCTCCTCCCCCCTCAAAGTGCTTCTCAGACGACTCATCCCGGTCGTCCTCACCCCACCAAGGGGAGGAAGGAAGGCACCTGAGGCTTCCAGGGTGGGGGCTGTTTGCCAGGTACGTGGGGGTGGGGCACGCTTCCCAGTGTTCTGCGTCTGTCCTCACAATGGCCCTCAAGGTCAGGCAGCACTGACCGCATTCTACCATTGAGGAAACAGGTGCAGTAATGCTCTGGGAGAGAGACCCATGACAAGTGGCAGAGTTGGGGCTGCAAGCCAGGCCTGCCACTCTTGCCCCCCTTTATTTTTTTTTTTTGAGACAGAGTCTCACTGTGTCCCCCAGGCTGGAGTGCAATGGCGCCATCTTGGCTCACTGCAACTTCCGCCTCCCAGGTTCAAGCAATTGTCCTGCCTCAGCCTCCTGAGTAGCTGGGATTACAGGCACGCACCACCATACCCAGCTAATTTTTGTATTTTTAGTAGAGACCAGGGTTTCACCATGTTGGCCAGCTGGTCTCAAAACTCCTGACCTCAGGGGATCCACCTGCCTCGGCCTCCCGAAGTGCTGGGATTACAGGCATGAGCCACTGTGCCCGGCCACTCTTGCCCTTTTCATGACATCAAGTTCAGATGAGTTCAGACATTTATGGTGTTAACCTCATAAAGTCAAAGAGCTTCAGGAGGGGAGAGAGACGGGCATCCTTCCAACCAGGGTCCAGTGAGGGCTTGGATAAGGGGACAGCTGGTTGCCGTCCTTCAGATGGAGACTGAGCTGACCTGAGGGATGAGCAGGAACCAAGGGGCTGAAGGAAGGAGGGAAGGGGCTCGAGCAAGTGGAATAGCATGAGCAAGGCACAAGGCAGTGAGAGAGACCGGGCTGGGAACTATTAATATATACAAGATGCCCCCTACAACAAGGAGGGGTGGCAGGGGAGGAGAGGAAAGACATGTGGGGCTCAGGGCTGAGGGCACCCTTGATGGGTGCTGCAGTGATGGGGAGCCATGGAAGGCTTCAAGCAGGGAAGTGATGTGGGCAGGTTTCCATCTTATTTTCTGTCTCTCGGGCCTGTGGTGTTAAAAGCAGCAAGACAAGATGGGGGCCTGGCTAGCCGGGACTAAGAAGACAGAGAGTAGAGAAATCTGCCCAGAGAGGTGTTCTGCGGAAGTCCACCCATGCAAAGCCACAGCTGAACTGTCCAGAAACCCAAACATACAGCAACCACCATTCTCAAGCACAACGGGAGGGTCACCTCTGAAAGGCCAGCGCCAGGGAGAAGTCACAAAGGGTGGGAGCCCCTGCCAGCCCTTCCCAGCCCCTCTCCCATGGTAAGGGCCACTCTGGGGCAGAGGATAAGGAGAACTGAATTCAAACCCTAATAGGTTGGTGGCTTTGGACAAGCCAATGGCCCTCCAGCTCAGCCTTCTCATCTAAACTGAAGGCTTGGACTAGATAATCATATTAAACATGGCCACGCCCAGGACAATCTTTTACCTAGACTAAGCAATTAGCAAAGGCAAAGCCAGCTGAATTTGAAGGCAAATTCTAGCCCCATGGTTTCACATATCTGGGTCTTTCAGCTGTGTGGAAACTTAATTAGCATCCTCCCTTGTTGAGTAGGAGGGCCAGAGAAAATGGCAGAACACGCCAAAGGCCCCGAGTTTTCTATCGACAGCCCTGGGAACAGGCTCAGGCCCCCTTGTCTGGCCTCTGAGCTTCCAGTAGGACTTCCCACTATTCATCCCCAGAACCCCTGCGCAGGCCAGCATGTCTGCTTCCCAAACAGGCCCAGTTTCCTCCAGAACCTCTGGTCAGGCTGCCTTTCCCTGTCAAAAGCTCTCCTCCCTCCCCTCTGCCTATGGGTGGCTACAGAGCCCCAAGTCTCCATCGTACGTGCGGTGTTTGGGCCCAGGCCCTCGTCTCACTCCACATGCCCTCCATTGAAGCCCTCCATTCCCAAGGCCTCACCTCAGCTGGCTAAGGGCATCTCCCTGGTATCTCCCGAGAGTGTCTGCCTCCCCGTCAGCCCTGGGGGAGTTATCAGCATCTTCTACAGGCCTCGCTGGCTTTCTCCTGTGCACTCAGCACAGCCTCCCCTCCCCACCACGCGAGATCTCACTGCAGCCAGAGAGGTCTTTTCAAAAATACGAACTCTGACTGCATCATATCCCTTATCCCACTTAATACTCTTTAATGGTTTTCCTTTGCTCTAAAATTAGAGGAAAAGTTCTTAGCACGGTTTATAAGCCATCGCCACCCCCCATTCCCATATCAATTGCTATC
Source organism: Homo sapiens (assembly GCF_000001405.40). Taxonomy (NCBI): domain Eukaryota; kingdom Metazoa; phylum Chordata; class Mammalia; order Primates; family Hominidae; genus Homo; species Homo sapiens. The sequence goes on from NC_000006.12 coordinate 3,447,182, forward strand.
AATTCCAGGCCCTACACACCACAGGGCCTTTGCAAGTGCCATTTGCTGTCTCTGGAAAACACACACATCTCTCCTCTTTTGCCTCTCTCTCTACCTCCTACTCAAACCTCAGCTCTCATCTCAGATGTCACTTTCTTACATAGACCAGTCTGTCTAGGTCAGGGTTTTGTTGTTGTTGTTCTAGTCTCTCAATTCCCTTTCTTTCTACACGCTTAACTCACTTTGTAATGAAAAGATTATTACTTGATCAGTTTGGGTGTGCCTTCCCCAGAAGTCTCTAAGCTCTATGGAAGCTGAGCTGTCTACTTTCACATATCATTGTATCCCCAACACATAGCACAATGCTCAGCTCAGAACAGGCACTCAAATCTGTGAAAAGGAGGAGAGAGGAAAGAAACTTTCTTTTTTTTTTTTTTTTTTTGTCTGAGACAGAGTCTTGCTCTGTTGCCCAGGCTGGAGTGCAGTGGTGCAATCTCGGCTCACTGCAAGCTCCGCCTCCCGGGTTCACGCCATTCTCCTGCCTCAGCCTCCCAAGTAGCTGGGACTACAGGTGCCCGCCACCACACCTGGATAATTATTTGTATTTTTAGTAGAGATGGGGTTTCACTGTGTTAGTCAGTATGGTCTCCATCTCCTGACCTCATGATCCACCCACCTCGGCCTCCCAAAGTGCTGGGATTACAGGCATGAGCTACCATGCCTGGCCTCTCTCTCTCTTTTTTTTTTTTTTTTTTTGAGATAGATGGAGTCTCACTCTGTTGCCCAGACTGGAGTGCAATGGCGCAATCTTGGCTCACTGCAACCTCTGCCTCCTGGGTTCAAGCGATTCTCCTGCCTCAGCCTCCTGAGTAGCTGGGATTACAGGCACCCACCACCATGCCCAGCTAATTTTTGTATATTTAGTAGAGGCGGGGTTTCACCATGTCGGTCAGGCTGGTCTTGAACTCCTGACCTCAGGTGATCCACCTCCCTCGGCCTCCCGAAGTGCTGGGATTACAGGCGTGAGCCACCGCGCCCGGCCAAAAAAATTTTTTCAAGTGGTCCAGGGTCACACTCATTAGTGTGATAAATGTTTAACAACCGGCTCTATGAAGAAAAAAAACCCTGATCTCCACTGTTTGCCAATTCCTATGGTGTAAATGCTCCCACCATGGTGAATTTCAAGCTGCCAGCATGACATTACTGAATGTGAAGTTGGATAGACACGTGCAGCAGGCTCAGAGTCAATAGAAGCCAAGCTGGCTCCCACACACCACCAGTTTGTGGCAACCTCAGGACAAAGATTCAGAAAGTCCACCATGTTTTTTTGTTTTTTGTTTTTTGTTTTTTGAGACGGAGCCTGGCTCTGTCCCCCAGACAGTTAGTGCAGTGTTGTGATCTCCGCTCACTGCAAGCTCCGCCTCCCGAGTTCACGCCATTCTCCTGCCTCAGCCTCCCGAGTAGCTGGGACTACAGGCGCCCGCCACCACGCCCTCCTAATTTTTTTGTATGTTTAGTAGAGACGGGGTTTCACCACGTTGGCCAGGATGGTCTTGAACTCCTGACCTCGTGATCCGCCCACCTCGGCCTCCCAAAGTGCTGGGATTACAGGCGTGAGCAACCGCGCCCAGCCCCCACCATGTTTTTAAATGACACCAACTTTCGACTCAATCCTATCTTGGACTAAAGGCCAAAGTAAAGGCACCTGCAGAAAATGTTGCTACAGAGAGGCAGAGGGAGACGGAGAGGGAGAGGGAGAGATCTGCAGATGGTTCAGAACAGGAAGATGAAGAAGGAAAGGGAGACCTGTGACCTGGGAAGACAGCTATCTCCCAAACGGAGGTGGAAAGGCTGCTTAACAGCTGGCTAGCCTCTAATCCTTACATTAATAAGGGCCACTGCCAAACTAAATGTTTAGGACGTTGTTACAAGCAAGTCAACGTCTGCATGAAATGCTGGTTATATCCTCTGACCTTTCTAGCAATTTATCCTAATAGCTCAGAAAAGCAAAACAGGTATCTCCAACCCCAAAATAAAGAAGTTATAAGATCATAAAAATGTTAGAAGAAAACATAGGATTTCCCCCCAGTCTTCCAGGAATCTTCCAAGCCTTAAAGCTAACATAAGAAATCATAAAAAAGAAGATTAATTCATACAACTCTAACCAAACCATACGTTTCTACATAACAAAAATATCATGTACAAAATTTAAAAAACCAAACAGCAAACTCGAGGAAAATGGTTACAAGTCATCCAGAAGGGTTAATTTACATCATACATAAAGTGTACCTATAAATACATAAGAAAATAATGCTTCTCACAGCATATACACACACATAAAGGCAAAGGAAATGAAGAGACTGTTCAAAGAACAGGAAATATGGATGGCTCAAAAACTTTCAAAAAGATGTTTAACTTCCTTCATAACAAGAGAAATGCAAGTCACAACCACCACCAAATACAATTTTTTGCACATCAAACTAGAAAATATGTAAAGATTTGATAATCCCCTGGGTCAGGGAGGGTGTAGGGAACAGAACCACACATATTATTAGTATAATTGTGCATAGCTAAGATTTCTACAGAAAACACTCTGACAGTATTAACATAAAAATGCAGCCTACTTTCACCCTCCCACTTCTAAAAATTTCTTACACGTGTGCAAATGTCTGTGCATGCCAAGATTTCGTGATATATTGTGAATATAACAGCAAAGACTGGAGACAAACTTAATGCTTCCTCGGTAAGTGATTAGTTAAATAAATGGCAGTCCAGTCTGACAATGGAATACTATGCAGACATAAAAAAGAATGAGTATCTCTATGTACTGATGTATTCATCTCCAGCATAAGTGAAAAAACAGTGTTTCGGATACGCTAGTGTTTCTGAGACAAAATATGTAAATGAAAGTAGAACATTTCTGGAAGGGGATGTGAGAAACTGGTAACCATGGTTGCTTCTGAAGAGGGAAACTGGGGGCAGAGACAGAAAGAAATGTTACTTTTATGCTATGCTTTCTGTACAATGTACATGTATTACCTACTATAGTCAATTTTTAAAAATAGATATGCATGAAGATATCCACTGTTGTTGCATATACTAGACAAAAGCCACCACTGGGATGACCTCATGGTAGTCAGTTCAGTATTTTATTATTTTTTTTTGAGACGGAGTCTCGCTCTGTTGCTCAGGCTGGAGTGCAGTGGAGTGATCTCGGCTCACCGCAACCTCCGCCTCCCAGGTTCAAGCGATTCTCCTACCTCAGCCTCCCGAGTAGCTGGGAATACAGACGTAAACCACCATGCCCGGCTAATTTTTGTATTTTTAGTAGAGATGGGGTTTCACTATGTTGGCCAGGCTGGTCTGGAACTCCTGACCTCGTGATCCGCCCGCCTCGGCCTCCCAAAGTGCTGGCATTACAGGCGTGAGCCACTGTGCCCGGCCGTCAGTTCGGTATTAGGAAAAGAATTTAAGAACTTTTAATAAATCAGCAAAAATATCATGCATTTAAAATGTTTCGGAAGAAATGGACAAATTCTTTTGATGAGGTGTCAAGAAAATAGTAGATTCCATTAAATAAACACTTTGATTAGAACTGTGAAAACAGGTTTGTGTGTAAGGCATTTCAAAAGTGAAAACTAGTCATCATATGATAACTAGGATCATGGAATTGTGGGCTATTTTTAAAAGTGTTACTGTTGCAATGATATAATTATTTCTAGTCTTAATTAAATTGTACTTAAAGTCACTTTAAATAACTTCTACTCTTTAGCCCTAGAAAAAGGATACAAATTACTTCCCAGGATATTTAAGCAACTTTCAGGATAAAGGTCAGAAATCTTTGCAAATTCATGAGAACAGAGGAAATGCTACCAGAAGATTGGAGCTGGACAAACATCCTACATTTCAAATACAGAAAAAATTGGGGCAAGTTCAGCTGGCATTGATTATTGGCAAAAGTTCTAGAGATTACTCAAGAAAGTGCTGAGTATTAGAAACCAACAGATTCAGTCAGAACAATGCAGGATACACTGTGCAAATTATTATTATTTTTTGAGACAGGGTCTCACTCTGTCGCCCGGACTGGAGTGCAGTGGCGCGATCTCGCTCACTGCAACCTCTCACTCCCAGGCTTGAGGGACTCTCCTGCCTCAGCCTCCCTAGTAGCTGGGATTAGAGGCGTGCGCCACCACGCCCAGCTAATTTTTCTATTTTTAGTAGAGATGAGGGCTCACCATGTTGGCCAGGCTGGTCTCAAACTCCTAATCTCAAATGATCCATCCACCTAGGCCTCCCAAAGTGCTGGGATTACAGGCGTGAGCCACTGCACCCAGCCTGTGCAAATCATTAAGCGCAATATTTGCAAGTCCATGGAGTCTTTGTTTTTTTGTTTTGTTTTGTTTTGTTTTAACTTTGTTGACTAAGATCTCAGAAGTATCTGAGAACTTGGGCTGCGCAGGGAATGCTGGTGTGGGAGAAGCAAGCCAACTGAGCTGAGCTGCGGCCCTGTTTGTCCTTAGCTCTCCAAAACTTGCTGTCTATGTCACTTGGAAGGAATTTGATTCTTTTCTGCAAGGCACTGACAATACCTTACAACAGAGCTGGGAGATAAAATGCAGAGCTTGTGAAAGTCATCAGAAAGTTGAACACAGATGGTCCCCGGCTTAAAACGGTTCAACTTGATGATTTTTTGACTTGATGATGGTGTGAACACGATACACATTCAGTAGAAACTGTATCGATAAGGGCTGCTTTATTCACCAGAAGTGAAAAACACGATGGTTGTGTGAGTATCTGAAGTACACAACCATTCTCTTTTTCACTTTCAGTACAGTATTCCGTAAGTCACACGAGATATTCAACACATTATAAAACAGACTTTGTGTGAGATGATTCTGCCCAACTGTGGGCTAATGTGAGTGTTCTCAGCACATCTGAGGTAGGCTGGGCTAAGCCAGCATATTCAGTAGGTTAGGTGTATTAAATGTATTTTCCACTTTCAATATTTCCAACTGATGAGGGGTTTATCTGGACACAAGACACAACACCATCCGAAGCAGAGGAGCATCTGTACCTGGTTCTTGTACAGAACACATGGCACACTCAACTGTGTGTTCACTGACTTAAAATCCATGATTGGCACCTGCTATTAGTCTGGCTGGTGGCTCACACCTATAATCCTAACACTTTGGGAGGCCGAGGCAGAAGGACAGCTTGAGGCCAGGAGTTCAACACCAGCCTGGGCAATATAGCAAGACCCCCCTCTCTACAAAAAAATAAAAATAAAAATGAGCCAGGTGTGGTGGTGCATGCCTGTAGTCCCAGCTACTCAGGAGGCTGAGGCAGAAAGATCACTTAAGCCTGGGAGGTGGAGGCTTCAGAGAGCTGTGATATCGTACCACTGGACTCCAGCCTGGGCAACAGAGCCAGACGCTGTCTAAAAAAAAAAAAAAAAAAAAAAAAAAAAAAAAAAAAAAAGCCTAGAGACTGACCTTGGGTTATTATTCTTAATCAAAGAAAATAATGTATATGAAATGTTTTATAAACTATAAAGGGCTGCACAAAAGAAACTGACATTAATGTTGTCATTATTTTGAAGGCATTGCAGATTCTGCGATGCAAATTCTGGTACCAATAACAAATACAAAGGCCAAGGCAAAAAATAAAAAGATCCTAACGGGAGAGATCTAGAAACTCAAAATTGTTAAGATGAAACCTAAGTCATGGTCATGCTACATGAGCCTAAAACTGAGAAAATCCTGATTTCATCCACCACTCCCAGGAAAACAACATTGGAGGGGTTGGTGATCATGGTCTGGAAGCAGAAGTATGTCATGTCTAGTTTAAGCCTAATGAATCAACTCTAGGTTGCAGTAGGGGAAGGACAGTATCCATCAATCCCCTCTTTGGGTTAGAACACACAGGGCCTGGCTGGGTTGGATTCTGGGTACCATGCTTAAGAGACACACATGCCAACCAGAGCGATAAGTATGGCAAATTTTTGCACGTATGGAATAGCTTAAGTACTGTAGATTTTTCAGCCAGGAAAGAAGCTATTGAAAACACATTTTATTTAAGAAATAATTTTTTAAAAAAAATTATTCTGAGGAGCAAGTGGCACAAATAGGCATGAGTTAACCTGAGTTTTATTTACCAAAGTGTGCCTTCCTGCAAGGAAAAGCAACTACGGGATGGACTAGCTGCCTTGTTAACAAAGCACTCCCTTTCCATCGATGGAAGTGTTCAAACTAGGATGGATAACTTCATGTTAGAGATATCATGCAGAAGGCGAGAGAGGCTGGTCAGCCCTAAGATCCCTTTTAACTACAATAACCTGGGATTCTAACTGGCTTGACAGTTTCACGTGTGTAGGTAGGTGCTAGGATACCAGCAGCCACATGAGAAAGAGGTCCAGAACTGTGCCTGGTAGCTCTTCTGTCTTCCTCTCCCTTTCTGACACCTAGGGACAGAATGGTGCATATATTGTAGGGCACACACACGCTAAAGGATACATACTAAATACAGGATACATGCTGAAGACAGCATGAGGCTTATTTGCAAGAGAAAGATCATGGAACAGAGCAGGAAAGAGGCACAAAAGGCAGCTTCTCAAACCCTGAGCTTTTATCCACTGAAAGAAGGCAAAGGCTCCTTCCACTTTCTGCTTCTACTTGGGATGTGGGCTGACAAGCACCTGACCCCTGGAACTCCTGCACTCACCATAGTGTACATCCCACATTAGTGCATCTGATACAGTATTCAACATACACAGCAGCACAGGAAAAGTCTGCCTTCCAACATGCCAAAATGTGCTTGAAAAGCTCTTTGAAGCATTTGTTATGTGCTTGAAACACACAGAACACTGGGAAGGCAGTCCTTTATTTAGATCTTTTTTGTCTGTGAAAATCAATATGTCCTTTCTAGGCTTTACTGTATAAGAAAATGTGTGTCTAATTATTGTTCCCAGGTTTCCCCTCTCAGTCTGGCCCAGTAACTGCAACGTGTCATCAAGCATCACCCAAAACATGCCACACACATGAGGGCTGTCTGTGACCCTCTCGAATGCTAATTTAGAAAAACTGCCCAGCTCTCCAATATGCCTCCATAGTCTGCTTTTAAGAACTATTTTTGTTCTCTCCTCCCACCGTGCATGGCTGAGTGTGAATAGCTGTTTCCTGGGTCCTCACTGCCAAGGTAATGGCACTCTATCCCATCTCATCACTTTCAAGTTCACCTCTACTTTGACCCCAGGACACAGCGCTCTTCACACATACTCACTTTGATCCATTATTCTCCCTCTGCTCTAGAAAGACACTTGAAATACTTAACAATGTTGCCAAATCCTCAGTCTGTCAGACATACACAGTGATTTAAATAGTCATTGTTCTTAATTTTTCTTTGCTGCTAAACCAACAAAGAAATATTGCCCTCCGTGAAGGGAAAACAGTCACAGAAACACCTTTAGAAAGCAGGGGGTAGGAGGTGGGTGGGATCAAGGTGAACCCAGCTAGAAGGACCTTCCCCATTACCTTGCAGGGCAGCAGGGGCAGCTCAGTCAGACAGTTCCCACAGGACAGAGCATTTCTGGCCAGGTTGGTACAAGATTAAAACAATGATTATGATGATGTAAGAGTTTATCTTACACATCCATGAGCTACAACTGTTAACCAATGCACACGGGGGGAGGAGGTTACATGCACATTGACTATTTAAAACTGTCCAATTTCATACATTTCGACAAAGCATTTAAAACTCTGCCAGAACAGCCCAGAATGGGTAGCGGGTGGGGTGGAGGAGAGTCTGTATTTACTTTAAAATGTGAATTAATTAGTTTAGACACAAGGAGCAAAACTACAAATGTCTTGATATCTCTTATATGTTAAGAATAAAATTACAGCTGTCTAGGGGCATTGAGTGTCCACCATTGCCCACTCTGTGTTTAGGCCTTCACACTTGTCTCACAACTCCCTTCTGCTACATTTCACACCACGCAATACCTCTGCAAGGGAGCTTTAGCTACAGGACTCAGAGGACAAGGTGCATGTTTCAGCTAAAGCACACCCCCGTTCTCAGTGCCTCAGCCCAAAGCAGCTGCTGTGTAAGAGCGGTGACGGCCGGGGAACACCCAAATGACATATTCTCCGCGTCCTTCCTATACTGTAGTGATGTTTACTGAAGTGCTGAGAAAACATGGGAGGAGACACTGGGGTAGCAAAGCCTAAAGTCAGATATCTTTGGGGAGGACTAAGCATCGGCTGCGGGTTGGGGATTTGCAGGAGTCTTTGCTTCTCTGGCTCTCCAGTTCTTTAGTAGGCTTTACCTGTGTCAAAATCAAGTGCGAGATGGAAGACTATTGCTTTGTGGGAGACCCAGGGACAACTAGCCGGGCAGAACAGGGCTGTGGTCCCGACTCCCCCAGCAGACCTTGAACGACGCCAGTCCGACTCCTCCAGAGGGGGCTGGTGACAGGTCAGCTGCCTCGCCCCGAGGGTGGGGGAAGGGCGCGCTTTCCATCCGCGTACTGGGACAGGAGTTTGGGTGCAAACTAGTAAAGGCTATGGTGCTCCCTTTACACCCAAGTAAAGGCATGTGGTTTGGGGGACGGAAGGAGATTAAGCCAATGCGGAATGCCCTACACACACTCTAGCACCACCACTTTGGGGACTTCGGTTCTCCCGCTGGCTCGGGCTTGGACCTCGGTCTGCAGGGAGAGGGTTGGAGGGACTGGGCGGCTGCGGCCCTTACCTTGCTGACCACGTTCTGGACGAGGCCGGCGCGGATGCCGTAGTCCCATGCGCGGCAGTCACAGTTGGAGGCGTTGTCCCCCTTGTCCGGAGGGGATGGCAGGGGTGGTGTGTCGCCTCCGTCCGCGCCGCTGCTGTTGCTCCGGTTGCCCGCAGCCTCCCAGGGGGCAGTGGCGAAGGGGGTGGTGGGGAGGCTGGTCCAGTTGCCCATGTCCCCGCCCCGGCCTGTGGTGGTGACCCCTGCCAGCTCGGTGCCTTTGCCGGCCCCGCGGCACCAGAAGTTGGGCTGGTCCAGGAGGAACGAGTCCGAGAACTGGCTGAAGCCGATGAACAGCGCCGGGATCCAGGTGAGCAGCACGAGGGTCTTCTGATAGCCCCCGCCCAGGCCCCCGAGGAAGGGCAGCACCGACCCGTCATAGTCCAGCAACAAGAGGCTCGGGGCCGCAGCCGCGGAGCAGCAGCTCGGGTGCGGGCCGCCTCCAGGATGCAGTGGGGGCAGCGGCTGGATCTCCGCGCCGCCGCCGGGGCCCGCGCGTCCCCCGAGGGGCGCCGAGGCCGCCGCGTCCCCGGGCGGCAGGGAGCCGTTCTCCTCGGCCGGGGCCGGCTGCCGCCCAGGCCCGCCGCCCGCCGCCTCGCGCCGCCGGTCTATGGCCATGGCCCGGGCCCGCGGCTCCCGCAGAGGCGCATAGAGCGCGGCGGAGGCTCCGCGGGCGCCCCGGGCACAGCGCGCCGGGCCAGGCGCCTGCAGCCGCTGCCGCCGAGGAGGGCCCGCGGCTCGAGAGAGAGCGCTCGGCGGCTCCGGGTGCGTCAGGCCGCCCCCATGTCACCCGCCGGACCCCGCGCCCCGGGCGCTGCGGCCCCGCTCGGGCGCCGGGCAGAGGCGGGCAGAGGCCGGCCGGGCCCTCAGCCGCCGCGGCTCATCAGTTCCGCGGCCCGGGCGCCGGCTGCCGAGCCCGCCGCTCTCCGCTGCTCCGCGCCGGACGCGGCAGGAGGAGGAGCCGGCGCCGCGCCCGGCCCGCGCCCTTGCCGGCGGTTCAGGGCCCTGCGGGCGGCGGTGCGGGCAAAGGCTGCTGCTCCCGGGGTGGCCGCGCTGTATTTCTCCGACTTCGGGCGCCTCCCGGAAGCCGCGAGCTCTGGACCCAGCCTGCCGAGCCGGCCGCGCTCTCCAGCTCCTGGAGCCGGCCCCACTCCTCCTCCTCCTCCTCCTCCTCCCCCTCCTCCCTGCCCCCCGGCCCGCCCCCTCTCCCCCCGCCGAGGTGGAGGTAACCGCGGCACCTGCTGCGCTCGGCTCCTGCTCGCGAGCGCCCCCTCCAGCCCGGACGCGCGGCCGCCGCCGCCCGGGATCCACGGGAGGGGGGCGGGGGAAACGGGACACCCCGGGCCCGCCTGGCTGGAGGATCCCCTGCCCGTTGCCCGTTTCGCGCCGGGCGGGGCGGGGGAGGAGGAGACGCGCGTAGCAGGGGTCGCCGGCCGGCGACGGGTCCCGGCAAAGTCGGCGTGCGCTGAGAACGTGTGGGCCGGGTCTTCTCTGAGGCTGGGCTCCCGCAGCCGCGCGGGCCCCCCACCCACTCCGCGCGCGCCAGGTCTCCGTGACCTCTGTCTCTTCAGAGGTGCCCGGCGGTCCCGCTGCCCGCGCCCCGCTCCCAGTCCCAAGCCCGAGGGTCTTCAGCCTTCGGGAACAACCCTCTGCGCTTTTTCCAGGAGCGAATAAGGTTGATTTTTGTGTCCGTGGAGCAGGGTCAAGGAGGCGCCTTTGCCAATTTCAGGTCGCCAGTCCCCCGCAGTGTCTGGCCACCTGCGACCCGCCGCACCCACTCCCAAATCGCCATTTCTTCCCCCACTCCTAAGTGCATGCGATGTAAGCACGATGCTGGGATATATCTCCAACACAAGTTATAATACACACAGTATAAACGTGATGGCATTCCCCACCCCCTCCCTAAGATCTTGTATTCACGTTTGGAACGCCGTGTGCACAGGCGCACACATCTATACTCTCACACAAGAAGACAAACCTCTCCCTCCTCTCCTGCTCCAGCGCCAACCTTGCCCAGCCAGCGCTGTATAAATAACACCAGCCCTGCGGCAAACGGCTACATTAGCATATTTCCTCCTGCACCCAGCGCACGCACCAAAGAGAATTATCCGGCACCTTTCAACCCAGCGTCCCCACATTTTGGAGGCATTTCATATTCTGAGAAGTTTATTAATGGAAGTCTTAAATGGAGCAATCCATTTCTAGTCTTATTTGGGGCAAAAAAAAAAAAAATGTTTAGCTTTCCAAAAGGATATATTCTAAGCTCCATATACTGAATGTATTCTTTTGCATTTTCATTATTTGCTCAGCTAACCGCTGCACAATTTAGTGGAATACATTTTTAACCTGCAGTTCAGTGTTAAGGGCAACATGTGTTTACTGCATAAAATGCTGGCACATACGTACCAGAGAACTATTTCTGAAGGCTGCCGGGGGGCGGGTCTTGGGGGACAGGGGAGGTTGTGGACCTTCCTGCGTGGCCGAGAAGGGGTGATTAGATAACAATGGGCGGAAGGGGCCCTAAGGGCTGCAAAAGACACCAGACCGCTGAGAAATGGGTCTGGAAACCACATATATAAAGAGCTGGGGGCTTGGGGCGGGGGGGGACACGATAGTGCACGTTGTGTACGTGGTAATTTTTCAACTTCACATTATTTATTAGCTTAACTTTTCTTTTCCTTCCCTCTCCTCCCCTCATTTGAAGAGCTAATACATGCAAAGTTCTGACCTCCATGCCTGGAACAGAGTAAGTGCGCAATGAATGTTAGACATGTATTATTACCAGTGCTCCTCTTGCCATTACATACAATCCACATTTCTTTTTGAATTGAAATATAACTTTACGGATTTTATTTATTTTCCTTTCAGTGGCTGATTTTCCAGAAGAGGTCCACTTTGTGTCTGGCTCTGCCTCCCTTCCCCCACAGTCACAAGGACCCATTTGTTTTCTTGTAACTGATCACAAAAGGAGCATTGCCATTGACCTTAATGGCCCTTCCAATCAGAATAACTATCATAGCCAGCGTTTCAGAGTTGGCTTTCAAATTCACACTCTCACTCAGTCCTCACATTCAGCGCCCCAAGAAGTGGGCTTTCAAAGAGAAACAGCAAGGATCAGGTGACTGACTACCAGATCAAAGAGTTGGTCCCCAGCTGAGCCAAATATCTGGTTTTGAACCCAGATTTTCTGACTGGACATTACCGGATTTCTCCATTTCATCATACAGGGGCAACTATAGGGAAGAGTTTACAAAGATGTTTGTTAATGTGCATTTTTACGTGGGAGAAGCCCTGGCCCTAGGAAAAGAGTTTCATTGTGAAGATGTTATTAGTCTTTGTTCGCAAAAGGTGGTAAAAATCCTCAAATGGTACATTCTTAGAATTTAGGGACACACTGGAAAATGGTATCCTCTAAAACTGAAGCTAAAAGGAGGCAACATAAAATGTTTGAAATTAACTAGCTGCAGCACTGACCCAGGCATTGTAATTAAGCTGTTGATTAGATTAGAGGTTTCCCTAAATTCCTCCTGGATTGATATTTCCACCAAATCTAGTCAAGAAGATTAAAGTGTAACTACTTTAAAATAAAGTGGCCTTCAATTTATTAAAACATACCACAAGTGATCTCATAACGTGAGCAAAAGGAGTAAAGAGGAAGAATTTGACACTCTGACAGCCTCAGTGGGTGAGGTTTGAGATCCATGGACCAGGATAGGAAAGCCAGACACCTGTTAAAAAATTACTGTTTTTAATTTTCTGAATGAGCATTATCATCAGCTGCTATTTTTCTTGTTTGCTTAGTTAGATTTACGTTCTGCCTCTAGAATGTAAGCACCTTCGGGGATAGGTGCCTTGTGCTCAGCTGTATGCTTGGTGGTTAAAACAGTGCCTGGTACATGCAAGGCACTCAATACATCTTTGTCAAATAAATGAGTGTATCAAGTTATTAATCACTTGATGATACTGTCTATTCAAATCATCAAACTGTTTACTTTGTTTCTTAAATCATCAAGCAACCTTTTTGTGTTTGTTCATCTCTCAAAGATGGTGCTCAGATCAGCCAACATGAGACTTGAAATGAATTTGACAATTATATGTCTTGTTGTAAGGCATTGTGGTTACTGGATTAGCTCCCAATATTATCTTCTCTTGGGCAGTATTGGCTTGCAGATGGTGGCTTATAGGCCAAATGCAGCTCACAGACCATAGGCAATGTTTTCAGGAAAATAATTGCTAACATTTCAAAATTGGGAGATTGAATACTTAGAAAAAAATGTGTTTTGGGCTTCTCTGAACATCATAGCAGAAGCCATTGTCCTTTTGATGCCCCATGTTTGCAGGACCGTGCTTTCTTGGACTGCAGTAAATGAGCAGGCACTCTCCAGCTTGCCCTCATCCCTGCCTGACACATGCCCCTCATGCATGACATTTGGCCCCCAAAAGTAGCTGTGTTTGTGACCCTAAATTTATGTGAGTATCCTGAACCCAGTGATCTTAATAAAGAAGCTGAGTCATTCCCTTTTCCTTTGAAAGTATGTTAAAGAATCTACCAGTTTATAGTTTTCTAAAAATTGAGAAAATAAGGAAAGGAAATGAAAGTCATAACCTAATCACCAATACATTTGAACAGTTTTATTTCCTTGGAGATAACAGGAGAAAAAATGTTTTAGCTTACCTCTAAAATTGATGGAAACCTAATTTTAAATCCTCTATAATTCTGTAAAAGTTAATTCTAAGGAATTCAAGTCAGGGTTAATTAACTTTAAATGTACGCTGCAAGTCATACCAAATGTATTTCACGTTGGTTTCTCTGATTATTCATGGTCTTTATACTTGAATTATAGATAGATATATCACATTTTAGAATATCCTGTGTCATTTTTTTTTTAAACTGCAGCTTGATTTCTTCCTTTCAAATAACTATTTGAAAATTAGGTTACCTTGATTTTGGGAGGGTGGGAGAAAGTGATTGAAATTATTTCCAACTCTAGTTGTGTATACTTGAATATTATTTATATCATCCTTTGCCTTTTGGAATATCAAGTCTGACTCTTTAACAAGAAATTTGACATTTACAAAACCTATCATAAATGAAAATGAAAAAGCTACTTTGGTTAAGTGACAGAAGTAATAAAAATGTCACATAATCTATCCTAAGGAAAGTTACAGGTAGTATCTTGAGAAAAACTACCTACTCATCTAGTACAAGACAAATTCATCAAAAGGCCAAGTGAAAACAGAAAAAGTGAAGATAAGACTTCTATGCAAAAAGCTACTCCATTGTAAATGTGATGGCTAGGGCCCAGTTACTTTCAAAGTTTGGTCAAAATTTAATTTTGAAGTCTTTTATTGAATTAAAAAAATTAGTGAAGCAAATCGATCTAAAATTTGATGTTGGCTTTTGTTTGATGAAAATCATAGATGTCATCTTTGTCTTACTGTACTTAAGAATGTTCTTTGGGCCAGGCACGGTGGCTCACGCCTGTAATCCCAGCACTTTGGGAGGCCGAGGGGATCACGAGGTCAGGAGATCAAGACCATCCTGGCCAACATGGTGAAACCCCATCTCTACTAAAAATACAAAAATTAGCTAGGCATGGTGGTGCGCACCTATTGTCCCAGCTACTCGGGAAGCTGAGGCAGGAGAATCGCTTGAACTGGGAGGCAGAGGTTGCAGTGAGCCAAGGTCATGCCACACTGCACTCCAGCCTGGTGACTGAGCAAGACTCCATCTCAAAAAAGAAAAAAAAATGTTCTTTGACACACACACACACACACACACACACACACGAAAATAACACAATGCCAAGACTTATAAGTGAATATTATATGTTTTATTCCAGCATGGAAACAGCCTCTTCTGTTTGATGAGAATCATCCCAAAGTTGGCATATGAAGCTTGAGTTTCAAGTATGGATGCTGAGCTCTTGACAGTGGGTGGGCAAACTGCAGATAATCATTGTTAGAAGGGCTTGTGGAAAGAACAATGAAGTAACCAGAGCTTACATGAAAGAAGTTTCACTTTTCAAATGAGATAAACTAATGTTCTTTAAACAACCCTTTTGTTCTAATGCTTTTCCTACTAATTCTAAATGGAGGTGAAGAAAAACACACAGATGGATGTAACCAAATCTAAAGTTATTAAACGGATTTTTTTTTATGACTGGAAGCTAGCGGGCAACAAGAGGAATGAATATTCCTGAAGGAGGCAGATTATTAGACCCAGAGTATACTTTCTGAGGTAAGCTGTTTTGACCAAGACATTGGTTTATTTAACTTCTTTCTTTAATAAGGCTGGTTTGAATTTATTACCATTAGATAGTCATAAATGACTTTTCATATTTAAAAAAATGGCTGTGTATGCATATTATTTTCAGTCCAAATTCTAGGCCATCTAAGAGGGCTTTGAATTAAAATTTATCGTTCCTATAGCAAAATACATGTAAATATATGGATAAAGTCACTAAAACATTCTAAGTTAACAGTATTTTTAAGGTTTTGAATTTTGAACTTTGAGGAAAGCACTTTTTCTATTTATAAGGTGATTTAACACCCTAGTATCAACAAGCACACCTAGCACCCAGATCTTGGTATCTAATACCATTCTCCAATATAAGGAACCAGGACCCCTTGGAGACAAATGGTTGATTCTAGGATGGGGCAGGAAATCTACAAGGTGATCCTGGGGCATTTTGTATAGTGCCGGGAAGTAAGGAAGAGCTGAACACCTCCACACCCCTCCACCCACACAATTATGGGGTGTGCGAAAGGGACACAGGAGCCAAATGAAAGAGCTCCCAAAGTCCAAAGCTGGAACCATTTGAGCAAAAAATAAAGTGCTATTGAATAATAAATAACCCAAATTATAAAATCTATACTGTGTGTCTGTATGTGAAAAATAAATGATTGGATAAATGAGGAAGAAGAGATAGATCTCCCATGCAGAAAATTTCAAATAATTGATGTGGATACTCAGCCCTCAAGCAGGAGTATAAGTCCTCGCTCCTTAAGTGGGGGCTGCACGTATTGATTTCCTTCCAAAGAGCGTGGAAACGGGGAAAAATAAGGTTACAGTGGAAAAACTCTTACAGTGAAAAGCACTGCTTCAGCCAGATGATCAAAGTTAGCATCAACAGTGATGAATCATGCTGACGCTGTGTACCCCTGATATGATACGGTGAGAATGGCACTTTACCTCTCCCATAACCTCCATAACCTGGTCTAACCATGAGGAAAACATCAAACAAATTCCTACTGAGGGACAGTCTGCAAAATACCTGAGCAGTACTCAAACTGTCTGGGTGATCAAAAACAAGGAAAGTCTGAGAACGTGTCATGTCCAAATGGAGCCTACAGGAGAAAGGATGACAAAATGTAATGGGATATGCTGGATAGGATCTCGGAACAGGAAAAGATGTTAAGGAAAAACTAAGGAAATTGCACTAAACAGTGGACCTAGATTAATAATAATGTATCCATACTGATTCATCAGTTGTGACAATGTATCAGACTAATGTAAGATGGTAAGAAGGCAAACTGAGTGTGAGGTATGAGGGAACTCCCTGTACTATCTTTGTAATATTTTTTATAAGTCTAAAACTATTCTAAAATTAAAAGTTTACTTTTGTAAAAAAAAAAATGACATCTCAAACATTAATATTTCATTTCAAGTTCTAAATCAGTGATATGGTTTGGATATGTTTCCCCATCAAATCCCACATCAGATTGTAATCCCCACTGTTGGAGGTGGTGCCTGGTGGGAGGTGACCAGGTCATGGGGGCGGTTTCTCAGTAATGGTCTAACACCATCCCCTTAATGCTGTCCTCAAGACAGTGAGTTCTCTGGGGCCGGGCGCGGTGGCGCACGCCTGTAATCCCAGCGCTTTGGGAGGCCGAGGCGGGCAGATCACGAGGTCAGGAGATCGAGACCATCCTGGCAAACACGGTGAAACCCCGTCTCTACTAAAAATACAAAATATTAGCCGGGCGCGGTGGCGGGCGCCTGTAGTCCCAGCTACTCGGGAGGCTGAGGCAGGAGAATGGCGTGAACCTGGGAGGTGGAGCTTGCAGTGAGCCCAGATAGCGCCACTGCACTCTGGCCTGGGTGATAGAGCAAGACTCTGCCTCAAAAAAAAAAAAAAAAAAGATAGTGAGTTCTCTTTTGGAATCTGTTTGTTTAAAAGTGTGTGGCAACCCCTCCACCCAAAATGTGTTTTGGGCTTCTCTGAACATAGCAGAAGCCGAACCCCTACCCCGACTCTTGCTCCTGCTCTGGCCATGTGAAGTGTCTGCTCCCTCTTTGCCTTCCACCGTGATTGTAAGCTTCCTGAGGCCTCCCCAGAAGCTGAGCAGATGCCCATCCTGCCGCTTGTACAGCCTCTGGAATTGTGAGCCAATTAAACCTCTTTTCTTTATAATTTGCCCAGTCTCAGGTATTTCTTTATAGCAATGTGAGAATGAACTAATACAATCAGTAATTTCTCTCTGTATAGGTTTTTATCTCTATGATGACTTTTTTTTTCTTTTTAGACAGAGTTTCGCTCTTGTTGCCTAGGCTGGAGTGCAATGCCACGATCTCAGCTCAACTCAACCTCTGCCTCCCGGGTTCAAGTGATTCTCCTGCCTCAGCCTCTTGAGTATCTGAGATTACAGGCATGTGCCACCATGCCCGGCTAATTTTATATTTTTAGTAGAGATGGCGTTTCTCCATGTTGGTCAGGCTGGTCTCGAACTCCCGACCTCCAATGATCCGTCCGCCTTGGCCTCCCAAAGTGCTGGGATTATAGGCGTGAGCCACTGCACCCAGATGTGATGACTTTTTTAATCAAGAAAAGGTTTAATGGTTTGAAACCGAAAGTTGATGAGAGGGACACAAAAATTCAAATGATTGAAAAATAATTTTTTTTTTTTTTGACGGAGGTTTTTTTTTGCTCTTGTTGCCCAGGCTGCAGTGCAATGGCACCATCTTGGCTCACTGCAACCTCCGCCTCCTGGGTTCAAACAATTCTCCTGCCTTAGCCTCCCGAGTAGCTGGGATTACAGGCATGTGCCACCACACCTGGCTAATTTTGTATATATATATATTTTTTTTTAGTTTCTCCATGTTGGTCAGGTTGGTCTCGAACTCCCGACCTCAGGTGATCCGCCCGTCTTGGCCTCCCAAAGTGCTGGGATTACAGGCATGAGCCACCGTGCCTGGCTGAAAAATAAATTTTAATGAGAGCTTGTTATAGTAACTGATTTTTAAAAACACTCCAAAGTTAAAAGATGCCAATATCAGCAAAATTATGAGCTATGGCCCAGGCTCTGGTGTAAGAGGCCAGCAAGGCCAGGTGGTCCTCCAGCCCTGAGACACATGGTAACTATCACTTTTTATTTTAAAGTTCTCTTGTTCCATTTGTGTTTACATTTCCATATTCTATTTTGTTTTCATCATTGACCTAGAAATACATTTAAGCCAATTTTTCTTTGGTTTCTTAGAGCTTTTTCTTCTGCCTTGTTAACTTTATCAATGATTCCATTTCTTAAAAGTTAACATAGAACCTTTAGGGGAGGCTGTGAAATACATGTGTATGGAATAACCAGCCTACTTTTAGGTAATGTAACAGAGCAGACTGGAGCCTCCAGGTTAACAGTCTTTGACAGAGTCTTTTTATCGGCCAGAAAATGCTTGGAATAGAAATCCAAGGGCATTCAAGTAAAACTCCACTTTCTAGTAGGTGTCCCTAAAGCACCTACTAGATTTGTACGTCTCGGTAGCTCCACTGCCGGTCACAGGGCCTGGCATTCAATAAACATTTGCTGAATGAACGAACAAAGGAAGGATGGGATGCGATATAGGATTCTGCCAGAGAGAGAAGAGGGAACAGTATATTCCAAATAAAAGGAATAGCGAGAATGAAACGCGAAGGTAGGAACCAGATGTGCTTGCTTGTGGTAGTTGGTACACGGCATTTCCGTAATATGATTTACTTATAGTATTTATAGAGGAAAATTGGATAATGCTATTTTAAGTATAAACATTACAAGTTTTGTTTTATTTTATTTTATTTATTTACTTTTTTTGACATGGAGTTTCGCTATTTTTGCCCAGGCTGGAGTGCAATGGTATGATCTCTGCTCACTGCAACCTCCGCCTCCCAGATTCAAGGGATTCTTCTGCCTCAGCCTCCCGAGTAGCTGGGATTACAGGCATGTGCCACCATGCCTGGCTAATTTTGTATTTTTAGTAGAGATAGGGTTTCTCCATGTTGATCAGGCTGGTCTCGAACTCCCGACCTCAGGTGATCTGCCTGCCTCAGCCTCCGAAAGTGCTGGAATTACAGGCGTGAGCCACTGCGCCCAGCAACATTACAAGTTTTAAAGGGAAGTTAAGAAAACCCCAAAATACCTCACCTTTAAAAAATGACTTTATTGAGGTATAATTTACATACATACATTTTAAATGTACAGTTCAGTGATGTGTACACCTTTGAAACCATCTCCTGAATCAAGACACACAGCATTTCACCCTCCCCAAAAACGATCTGTTGTGCCTCTTTGCAGCCAGCCCCCTACACACCACCCTAGGCCTTCTCTCACTACAGGTTAGTTTTTCCTGTTCTAGAACTTGGAATAAATGGAACGAGGCAGCTCACACTCTCTTGCGCCTGGCTTCTTTCACTTAGCATAACACTTGTGAGATTTGCCCATGTGGTTGCTGTATCCACATTTTATACCTTTTTGTCATTGAGCAGTGTCTCACTGTAGGCATAGCCCCTAGCTTGTCATGCATTCTCATGTTAATGGACATTGTGGTTGCTTCCAGTTTGGGGCTACTATGAACAAAGCTGCTAGAAACCTTCATATAGGGTTCTTTGTGTAGAATGTGTTTTCATTTCTCTTGCATAAATATCTAGGAGTAGGATTGATGGGTTGTATGATAAACCATTTCTCATTTTTTGAAAATGACACCTTGTGGATCACCAATCCTTATGGTGGACACCAAAAATTGTCCTTATGGCCGCTGATAGAACAAAGAAAGCAGGGCTGGGAAGAGCATCATCTGAGCTGGCAAGGAACAGCTTATGACTTTAGGATATTTGAATAATGCTCGCATTCTCTGAGGACACAGCAACAATGGGGAGAAGGCACAGTATGCTGGTTAGTGAGTCTGAAGCTACAGGGAATACTTTACATGTCATTGCCTGAAAATTAGTTTTAGGTGGCATATTAGGTTTTCATACTTCATGGCAAGAAATCTACAGGAAATTACCTGTACCGTGAGTGCATCGGCATCAGTATTTTTTCACATGCAAATTATAGAAAACTCAGGGTAAACTGGCTTATGCAAAAAAGGAACTTGATTAGCTCATGTAACGAAAAATACCAAGATTTGCTATTAACATGACCCAGCATGATGTGATTGGGATGCAGGGCGCTTCAAACCCTTCCTGGCCAAAGTCACACTGTAGGGCCTGACTTCCCTGCTTTGTCCACATTCCCTCCGGGCTCTTTATTTAGTTTGGGGGTCTGGAGACTGGGGAAAGGAGGACGGCTTCAAGGGCTTTTACTTCTATCAGCCCCCAACGTTAGACCTGTTTTTCAAAGCATTGCTTTTTAATTACTACTGTCTTGGTTGATTTGCCAAGACAGTAAGAAGTAGCTGGGAGTGTGCCAGGTGCGATGGCTCACGCCTGTAATCCCAGCACTTTGGGAGGCTGAGGCGGGTGGATCACCTGAGATCGGGAGTTGGAGACCAACCTGACCAACACGGAGAAACCCCGTCTCTACTAAAAATACAAAATTAGCTGGGGGTGATGGCGCACATCTCTAATCCCAGCTACTCGGGTGGCTGAGGCAGGAGAATCACTTGAACCTGGGAGGCAGAGGTTGCAGTGAGCTGAGATCGGACCATTGCGCTCCAGCCTGGGCAACAAGAGTGAAACTCTGTCTCCAAAAAAAAAAAGGTATCTGGGAGTTTAGTTCCCCCTTAACCTGGGACAGGTGAGCACGGACAACAAAAGCCCCAAATCCATTGCCTGCTTCCTTGCACATGAAGCCCTATTTTACTGTCTGCTTCTAAAGATAAAAGCCTACATTCACAAGGATAAAGTTTCAAGCCCAAAGAAACACCTCACAGGACCTAGTGGGGAAGGTGGAGCATCTAAGTCAGACCTCCTGTATTTTTGCCCAGACCTCACAACCTTCTGGTTGTGTGACATTGAACAAGTCCCATTACTTCTGCCAGCCTTACTTTCCTCATCTGTAAAATGGGAATAATCATCACACCTGAGTTACTGCCCATCACACAGGTTGGTGTGAGGAACCAATGAGATAATGTGAATGAATTCGGTATGATTGAGTTGCTATCAGAAGTGGTCATCCTGACCCCAACCACTCAAACCATCTCTATAGAGTTTATCTGATTCCTCATCACCACAAACCTGGGGCCAGATTCCACTGTCAATCAAAGAGAGAAAAGAGGTTGGAATCCCCAGCGGACATTTCATTCCATTAGTTCTACTAAATAATTCTACAGTAGAGACCGATAGACCCAGAGCTTGAATTTGCTGCTGTGATCAGACTTCCTGGTAGCGAATGTCTGCAGGCCAGACCTGTGCTGTCCTGAATGCCTTGCCTTGCCCCGGGGCAGGAGATCCGGCCCTCTAGGTGGTCCCCTAGGCTAAAGGGCAGCAAGAGTGAAGGCCTGCCACACTCCAGCAGTGTCCTGTCCACCCCACAGAACCCCCACAAGGGGCAGCCCCTATTTTCATCCACCCAGCAGCTCTAATGGTAGGTCCTGGCTCCACCTTCTCCCGCTTGCCCTGTCTTGCTGCAGACACGTTGCTTTGCATCTTGGACAGAACCAGAAACGTGACACATTCCTAATAACCTTAATAATCCTCACAGCTAGCATTTCTTGAGCACGCGATCACCTTTCCACATATCTCATCTCACTTAAGGTACCCTACGCGAAGGAAGGATCATTGCACCATTACGGAGACGAGGATACAAACTGTCAGGCCTCTGAGCCCAAGCTAAGCCATCACATCTCCTGTGACCTGCACATATACATCCAGATGACCTGAAGCAAATGAAGAACCACAAAAAATAACATTCCACCATTGTGATCTGTTCCTACCCACCCTAACTGATCAATTGACCTTATGACAATACCCCCTCCCCGCCCTTGCAATAATATACTTTGTCATACTCCCCCGCCCTTAAGAAGGTACTTTGTAATATTCTCCCCGCCCTTGAGAATGTACTTTGTGAGATCCACCCCCTGCCTATAAAAAATTGCTCCTAACTCCACCGCCTATCCCAAACCTATAAGAACTAATGATAATCCCAGCACCCTTTGCTGACTCCTTTCTTGGACACAGCCTGCTTGCACCCAGGTGAAATAAACAGCCTTGTTGCTCACACAAAGCCTGTTTGGTGGACTCTCTTCATACAGATGCGCGTGACACAAACCTTAAAAGATGTTAAGTAACTTGCCCAAGGTCATGCAGTATCAGAACCAGGATTCAAAACAGAAACTCAGACCTGTCTCATGCCAATGCTTGGGACTCTCATCCACTACGGTTAGCCATCTCCCCCAGATGGAAAGAGTGGGAAACTTCTGCCAGATCTTTCTGATTCCATGGGGTAGATGTCTAGATCTGACAGGGCTCATCTCCAGTCGGATGCATGTCCACTGCCCCTTCCTCTCCCTGTCCTCTCAGCAAGAGTTGGGCCCAGTGGGCTTCTCTGACTCATACCTTTGCTTCTGGAACTGGCTTCCTCTCTGCCCCAATACCAGTGACCTTGGGAAATCCCAAATCACTTCCCTCCAGGAAAATGTCCACTTCCAGCTCCTCAGGCCAGTACTGTCAACCACTGCGCGCTCCCGGGAGCCATCCCTAAGCCCTTGAGCCCTCTGGAAATCATTTACAAAGTCAGGAGGATCATTTTAGCATTAGCCTTTATTCCCTGAACAAAACAGGCCCCTAGACAGTGAGGGCTTCTTATAAAGTTGCCTGACTCTCCTTTGCTTTGGGTTCCGGGATAGACTCAAAACCTCTTGAGTATAAAATTCTGTAACTTCCACTCTGTCTTCATTATGTGAGATGTTCAGAAAACCCCACTATTGGAAACAGAACTCACTAGACACTCAGGTAAACTACTTTGGCCTTTCATTCGACAGCCACCGTTATTTGAGGCCCCTTAGGGATTCACCATCGGTGCCTGGAGCGAGTTTGAAAGTCATCAAAGGAGCCAGGTGTGGCTCTGGAGGTCCTCGGGAATCTCTCTCCAGAAGGAATCCAATCAAGGAAAATCTAAACTGTTTCCTGTGACTGTGTATCATGGTTTTGCCCTTTTCCTCCACCTAGTTCATTTTAAGAGGATCTTAATGCTGCCTATCAGATAAGAATGTTATGTATAAAATTAGATATTTTAATACAAGCAAGCCTGGACTTGTACAGACAAATTTCTCACCTCTTCCACAGAGGACAATAGACTTCTGAAAAAGGTGCTGTATTGTCTAAACCCCTCTGGCCCCCTCTTCCTGATATTGCATTTGGAGTCTGCCGCACGTTCTTTTGAATAGTCTCAATTGTGAGAAATTTTTTATGCTCTCGACTTTAAGAAAACTGAGTAAAAGTCAATTGAAACCAAGTTTAGCGATTAAACTGAGAAATACCATTTGGGGTTTAAAATAACCCGTGACTATAAAATAAGAAGGAAGGATTTCTTTTGTTGTTCTTCGAGTGGCTCTGATGGTAATTATTTTCTTCTGAGACACATGAAAGCTTCCAGGAAGGAACCCTCATCCGGGTGGGTGCAGTGTGGAGGTGGGGTGAGATTAGGCCTCTGACTGCGAGAGAGCCCGCTTTCTTCTCTATCGCTACTTTCAAACGCCACTCCTTTTGATGTTGGCTAAGAATTTATCCTTCACATTTCCATTTAACGAGAGTGACAATGTGTCTAAACCCCAAGAGGAATTGGCTAAGAATTTAAATCATTCCTTGCCCATATGTCCTCTCCGTAAAGGTACGTTTTATATTTGTAGCTAGTCTCATAGGCCTAGCTTTCGAAGACGGGTAAGGTAAAAGAACCAGAAAACAAAGTCGAAATGGTGTCCCCTTCCTGTAGGCTCGCTTTTCTTTCTTTCTTTTTCTTTTTCTTTTTTTTTTGAGGCAGAGTCTCACTCTGTCGCCCAGGCTGGAGTGCAGTGGCATGGTCTCGGCTCACGGCAACCTCTGCCTCCCAGGTTCAAGCGATTCTCCTGCCTCAGCCTCCCGAGTAGCTGGGATTACAGACGCGTACCACCATGCCCGGCTAATTTTTGTATTTTTAGTAGAGACCGGGTTTCTCCATGTTGGCCAGGCTGGTCTCTAACTCCTGACCTCAGGTGATCCGCCTACCTCTGCTTCCCAAAGTGCTGGGATTACAGGCATGAGCCACCACGCCCAGCCCTCTTTTCTCCACTTTTGATTCCTTCCCTTCTTCCTTCAAAGGAGCACGCAAGGGCCAGGTCCCAGTTCCTGTCCTCAGCTCATTAGATCACAGGTTGTGAAGAGCTGGCACAGATTCAGCACACTTGGAGCCAAACACAGCTGTATCAATAGTTTGATAGGGATCTTCAGTTGCCCAGATTAATATGCTTATCAGCTGCTCAGGGAAAATCATTCAGGTGGCCCCTCTCCTTCCTCCGATGACCGAACCCCACCCCATGGTTTCTGGACTCCATCCCAAAGTCTCTAATTTTCCCCTCAAAATTGATTCTTCACTTGCTTAGGTAGTGTCTACACTGGAATTCAGCCTCACTGTTTGAAGTTGTCTGTTACTAGGAGAGTCTGTTTACATTAAGCCCAAGTGTGAACTCTCACTAATTAACGCCATTATGTAGCTTTGCAAATAACCACTTGTACTTATGGCCAGGAGAGGAACATTCTTTTTACTGGTTCCAACAACTGCCTTAAGGTCCAGTGGTGGTTAGTCACAGTAGAAGAGGGAAGGCAGCCGCTGGCTAAGGGCTGAGCTTGCTTATGTGTTGGCTAGTGCACCACAACTAGTTCTCTTCCAAGACAACGAGGAATTAATCATGGCTGCCTTTCTCAGGACTGTGAGGTTTTTGAGTGATAGCAAATAATGAAGCTAAATGGAGCCTCTAGCCATCTACTGAACCCCCCCATTTCTAGGAGAGGAAACAGGCCTAGGAAAGTGGAATCCTTTGACCTAAATTTAAGAGTTTATTAGAGGCGGCCGGGCCCGGTGGCTCACACCTGTAATCCCAGCATTTTGGGAGGCCAAGGTGGGTGGATCCCTGAGGTTGGGAGTTTGAGACCAGCCTAATCAACATGGAGAAACCCCATCTCTACTAAAAATACAAAATTAGCTGGGCATGGTGGCACATGCCTGTAATCCCAGCTACGTGAGAGGCTGAGGCAGGAGAATCACTTGAACCCAGGAGGCGGAGGTTGTGGTGAGCTGAGGTTGTGCCATTGCACTCTGGCCTGGGCAATAAGAGTGAAACTCCATCTCAAAAAAAAAAAAAAGAAAAGAAAAAGAGTTTATTCGAGGGTGATACGGTCCTAGAGCTCAATTCTTCTGGTTCCCAGCCAGTACATTCTCCATGCTGCCTCCCTGCAAACCGAATCTGTGTAGAACACCTTCGTTTCACCAGTAATGAAATGGCTGACAATAGGGTATTTTCCTGTCTTGCACAGATGATGGGTTACACGGTCATTTCCCAGCTTCATCTCTCTGGAAACAGATGGCTTAAATCTATTAAAATGGGTTTTCTCTGAGTTCTTCCATGAAACATTAAGCTCTGGGAAGGTCCAACTGTGTTTCCTTCACATTTAGCACCTAGTAAATGGTGCGAATGAAGGGTTAGCATTCAATAAATGGTGAATGAAAGAAGCAAGGAGAAACTAGCTATCCCATCAAGGACCAAATTGGCTGCCCTGTTAGTTAACCAATTAATGTAGTTAACCAGCCACTGGTGGAAGCAAGTTCCACTATGGGAAGCTCATCTTGCACTTCTATTATCTGGATGAGGTTGCTTTATTTTAAAAACATCAGTGCAATATTTAAAATTCAAAATAAAAGTATTACTCATCCAAAGTTTCTCTTTATCTCCAGATCCTTAATGATATGAGTCCTCAAAAGAGAGTCAGTAATTTTAAAAAGAATAGTCTCTCTTAGGAATTCTGCCCTGCTTGGAATTTCTACGCCTTTTTCAAAATTTCTAATTCTTTTTCTATCAATCTCTGACCTCAGCACTCAGAGTCTAGGAAGAGCTTACTCATGTCCCCCAGGGATCATTTCACAAACATCTGAGAGCTCCTCACCAACCAGACAATGCACAACACTGGCTCCCATGACTCAGCATGAATTCAGACACACACACACACACACACACACACACACACACACACGTGGGTGGTTTCTGCGGGTGCTCTGCAGGAGCTGTGTTTGGAGCGGTTTGGGATGGGCTGTGGGGCTGAGTGAAGGAAGGCGGCCCAGCTTCCAGCTCACTCTTTCCTTTCTGGTAACATAATTAAAATGCTACACTAACAAAAGTGAAAGAGCTTTGCAAAGTTAAAAATGGTGCAAATTCATTATTTGTTAAATGACACTAATAATGAATTAGTATCGTTATTATTATTATTATTATTATTATTATTATTATTATTATTATTGAGACAGAGTCTTGCTCTGTCACCCAGGCTGGAGTGCAGTGGTGCTATCTCGGCTCACTGCAACCTCCGCCTCCTGGGTTCAGGTGATTCTCCTGCCTCAGCCTCCCGAGTAGCTGGGACTACAGGCACGTGCCACCACACCCGGCTAATTTTTTGTATTTTTAGCAGAGACAGGGTTTCACTGTGTTAGCCAGGATGGTCTCGATCTCCTGATCGCGTGATCCGCCTGCCTCTGCCTCCCAAGTGCTGGGATTACAGGCATGAGCCACCACACCTGGCCGTCATTATTATTTGGCATGAAAGTGACTTCCAGTTCCAGTGACTGAATGTGGAGGGGGAGGGGAAAGGATGGCTGCTCCAGAAGGGATTGGGTGGTGGACTTATTTATTTTTTCTCTTTTTGGCAAATAAACTTGACCTGGTGATGGAGGCTTCTTTCAGCACCAGAGCCTAATGCAGATGTCTCCTCCTGGCTCTGGATTTCTGTGGGTGTTACTTGTTTATTGGTAGTTGTTTATATTTAAAACCATGTGGTAGTTTGATGGTGCCTGTAAATAGAATAAAATATTTCTGCTGCTTTTCTACCTGCTACCAAGGCATTTTTAAATGTCTCTTAAGAAAAGCAACAAGAGCCGGGTGCAGTGGCTCCCACCTGTAATTCCAACACTTTGGGAGGCTCAGACGGGTGGATCACCTGAGGTCAGGAGTTCGAGACCAGCTTGGCCAACATGGAGAAACCCCGTCTCTACTAAAAATACAAAAATTAGACAGGCATGGTGGCATGCGCCTGTAATCCCAGCTACTGGGGAGGCTGAGGCAGGAGAATCACTTGAGCTGGGGAGGCAGAGGTTGCAGTGAGCCGAGATTGTGCCACTGTACTCCAGCCTGGGCAACAAGAATGAAACTGTCTCAAGAAAAAAAAAAAAAGCAACAAAACGACAACAAAATGTGATAAAATACTATTTAGTCCAGTTAACGAGGGCAGTGCGGTCACTCACTCAGGCCCATGTACCCTGTGTGATGGCCTCTGAGCAGCAGTATGGATTCTAGACTTCCCGTCTTCTACATCCACAGGTGGAAACCCGGGGGGCACGTTCAAAAGGAAACACTTTTTTCTTTTTTCTTGAGACAGAGTCTCACTCTGTCACCCAGGCTGGAGTGCAGTGGCATGATCTTGGCTCACTGCAACCTCCGCCTCCTGGGTTCAAGCGATTCTCCTGCCTCAGCCTCCCAAGTAGCTGTGACTACGGGCACGTGCTACCACGCCCGGCTAATTTTTTTTATTTTTAGTAGAGACAGGGTTTCACTGTATTAGCCAGGATGGTCTCGATCTCCTGACCTCGTGATCCACCTGCCTCAGCCTCCCAAAGTGCTGGGATTACAGGTGTGAGCCACTGCACCCAGCCAAGGAAACACTTTTGAGCACCACTTTATTAGTTAATGCTCATAAGAGTTTTTTAAGTTGCTCATAATTTGGGGGATTGTTTTCACAGCGAGAGGAATGAAGAGTGGCTATGAAAGGTGTCATATGGTGGGATTCTCTGTGACACATCTTCATTCACATGACACAGTAGAAAACTCTGGAACGATGTGAGATAAGGGGGTCATCTACAGCCTTGTTGAATTTAGGGCAGATACTCTTTGCCTGGGGTTTGTGAAAACTGAAATTATGTATTGCTGATTATGTGCATTTGTCTGGGGAAAAGGTCTCTATCTGCCATTAGGCTTTCAAATGGGGCCAAGAGTCCTTGAAAGACTAAGAGTTCCTGAAGTGGAGACATTTTTTACATCAATTTATTAAGATGTGCTATAAAAAATACTACTTTGCTACAAAATGTTAAACATGCACAGTTTTTTAAAATGCCAATAATTTTTAAATAAATTTAATCTATTTTAGATTTAGAACTTTAAAAGATAATAAGAAATTAATTCCACGTATTAAAGTGTTCCAGAATCAGAACATTCCATTCCCTGAGTGAACATTTTTAGTATGGATGATGGCCTTACCAGTGTCTTAAAAATGTGGATTCTTCATTTATTCTTAAAAGATTCACTGAACTCATGCCATGTGCTGTGTACTATAAGATGATGGACAACCCCCCAAAGGTTAATGGGACTAATATGGAATTCACTGTCTGGTTAGCAGCTGATAACAGTGTTTCAGATCTTGATAAAATAAAGTGTCCAGCATACACAGATAACTCCTGCTCTAGATAGGGGTTCACAGCAGTCTTAGAACATGCAATCCTTAAACTCCATCCAGGTAGAGGCTTTGGAGTTATCTAGGTAACAATATGGGCAGTGGACAGAAGGGACAGAGGCAGCAGGAGCAGTTTTGTGTAGCCTACCTAGGTTTTAATATACATAGGAATGACCCGGGGCTTGTGAAAATGCAGATTCTGAAAGTCTGGGCGGGGGCCTGAGAATGTGCATTTATTTCCAAGATGCTGCTAGGTGATGCGGCTGTTGGCAAACCTCACTTTGAGTAGTGAGGGGAGGGAAGGAGTCCTACCAGGCCATTTAGGGACCTGCAAGCAGCTCAGGAGGACTCAGAAAGGGGCTCAGGTCACCTTGTTCCAGATGCCTGAAAGAATCTCTCTCTGAAATATTTTGAACATGCAGAAAAGTTCAGAGAATAATAATTGCTATACAGATTTGACAAATGTGGGTTTCTAACCACATCTGCCGCATGATTTCTTTTCTGTTTTCTTTTTTGAGTCTTGCTTTTTTAACCAGACTGGAATGCAGCGGCACGATCACGGCTCACTGCAGCCTCAACTTCCTGGGCTCAGGTGATCCTTCTACCTCAGCCTCCCAAATAGCTGGGACTACAGGCATGTGCCCATGCCCAGCTAATTTTTTGTATTGTTTGTAGAGACAGGGTTTCATCATGTTGCCTAGGCCGGTCTCAAACTACTGGGCTCAAGCGATCTGCCTGTCTTGGCCTCCCAAAGTTCTGGGATTACAGGCGTGAGCCACTGCACCCAGCCTGCTCCATGATTTCTGACACTGTGGTGGAAATTCCTTTCTACTCCTCCCTCCTCCCAGCCCCACCTGTTCTGCAGCAGAACCCCCATTCTGATACTGGTGTGTATCTCCTCTACCCATGCATAGGTGTACATAATCAACATTTAGTAATGTTTTCTATTTTATACAAATAATACTTCATACAGTTTTCTACAGCTTACACTTCACTCAGTTCCATGTTTTCAAGACTTGTCTCAGTTGATATTTGGAGATCTAGTGTATTCATTTTGAACATCTATTTCTGCATTATTTCTATGAATTTATTAAAATGTATGCATTCGTTTACTTATTGGTGAATATGTAAGTCATTTTTAATTGTTCATTCTCAAAAACAATGATTTGCAGGGATTTTTGTGTATCCGGAATACTCATTCCCTATCAGTTTCATGCATTACAAATATATTCCTCCAATCTGTGGCTCCTTTTGTCCTTGATACTGGCTTTAACTTTGTTTCTGTTGTCTTTTGTTATATAAAAATATTACATTTTCATTTTGTCAAACTTATCAATCTTTTTCTGTTGTGGCTTATGCTTCTTTTATCTTATTTAAGAAATGATAAAGATGCACTCTGTAACTCAGGATTTTGTAAACAGTAAGCATCAGTGGAGAAGAATTAATACAATACTGTGGGTGAACTTGACTGCAGTTTTCTTAACAATTTTCTTAACTATTAAGAACATTCTCAGGCCCCCGCCCAGACTTACAGAATCAGAATCCACATTTTCACAAGCCCCAGGTCATTCCTAAGTGCATTAAAACCTAGGTATAGGCCACACGAAGCTGCTTCTGCTGCCTCTGTAGCACCGTGGACCAGTTTTGCGGTAGACAATTTTCCCATTGATGGAACGGGGCTCGGGGGGCGGGAGGTGATGGTGGTTTCAGGATTAAACTGTTCCATCTCAGATCATCAGGCGTTAGATTCTCATAAGGAGCATGCAACCTGGATCCCTTGCACGCACAGTTCACGACAGGGTTTGTGCTCCTGTGAGAATCTAATGCCCCCACTGATTTCACAGGAGGCGGAGCTCAGGTGGTAATGCTCACTCACCCTCCGCCCACCTCCTGCTGTGTGGCCTGGTTCCTAACAGACCACAGACTGGAACCAGGGGTCAGACCCCTGCCCTAAAGGGCTGGCAAATTCTTCCAGTTAGAAATAGAGGCAAGTCTTGATGCGGTCCTCTTTACTTCTTAATCGTCTTCTGGTTTTAAGTGCATTGCCCACTTTGACTGGTACCCACTCACTGGGAGGTTGGAGGACTGGCTAACTCCCTTGGAATTTCTCAGGGATTCCTGATGAAAGTGAGTGGACTCACTCCCAGGTGCCCAAACACCTGCCCTCTGCTGGGCTGCCTTCCCTCTGATCTGGTACAATTATTGTGGCAATCTATGACTGTGTCAGTTTCTTTGACAGTGCCTCTTTCCCCTATTTCATGCACTTTTCATCTGCTGTATGTTGCAGATCAGATTATTATCCCCAAAGGATGTACCTGGAGCCCTTTGTGAATCCCCACATTCAGAAATGCCATCACTCCCCTAGGCATCTTCTCTTTTTCGTAACGTTCTATCACTTGTGTTAATAATTGCCTCTACTTTCACAGTCTCTTTTTCACAGAGAAACTTTAGAGAAACATTTTGGGCTTTTAATGGGAGGCATTTGTGTACTGAACTAAGTATCTGGGTGGCGGAGTCAATACAGTATAAATGTTTTTAGGTCATCTGTCTTTGAGGTGGGCTGTTCACCTCCTTGTTCCCTTGTGGACCCCACTCTTGGGGTCCTGCAGCCTGTCTTCTTTCCCTCCATCAGCAGCTCCCAGGGAGAATGCATCCTATCCCTCT
This sequence comes from Homo sapiens, assembly GCF_000001405.40. Lineage (NCBI taxonomy): Eukaryota > Metazoa > Chordata > Mammalia > Primates > Hominidae > Homo > Homo sapiens. The sequence goes on from NC_000006.12 coordinate 3,478,480, forward strand.
GAGGTGCTGTCATCTGACACCCTCCTGGACAGTCCCCCTCATTTGTGCTTTAAAGTGTTTGGCAACTGCCCCTTGTCATCAGCACTCTCAGTCCCACTGTTATTCTGGTGTCTTTGATGTGTATGTGGCTGACCCAACTGATACCCTGACTTCTCAGCTCCTTGACTTCCTCAGCTTGTGACCTTTTTCTCCACTCCATCTTTCCCACAGCCATGATTCTAGTAGTCAGCTCAGGCTGCCATAAAAAATACTATTGACTGGGTGGCTTAAGAAACAGAAATTAATTTCTCCCAGTTCCGCAGGCTGGAAGTTCAAGACCAGGGTTCCAGCATGGTCAGGTTCTGGTGAAGGCCCTCTTCCTGGCTTGCAGGTGGCTGCCTTCTCACCAACTCACCTATCTAGGAGAGTGAGAGAGAAAGCTCTCTTTCTTCCTCTTATTATAAGGCCACAGTTCTATTGTATTAGGGATGAATCTTTATGATCTAATTTAACCTTAATTACCTCTTTAAAACTTTATATCTAGATATAGTCGAATTGGGGGCTATGGCTTCAACATACAAATTTTTTAGGGGGACACAATTCAGTCTCTAGCATCCCACCCCTGCCCCCCAAATTCATGTTCTTATCTCATGCAAAATATATTCATTTCATCCCAACAGCTCCAAAAGTTTTAACTCATTTCAGCATCAACTCCAAAGTCTAAAGTCCAAAGGCTCATCTAAATATCATCTAAATCAGGTATGAGTGAGATTTGATGATGAATCTTGAGGCAAAATTCCTCTCTGGCTGAAACCTGTGAACTCACGCAGGTTATCTGTTTCTAAAATACAATGGTGGGACAGGCATAGGAGGGACATTCCCATTCCAAAAGAGATAAATTGAACAGAAGAAAGGGACAGCAGGCACCAAGCAAGTCCAAAACCTAGTTAGGCAAATCCCAATATATCTTAAGGTTCTAGGATAATCCTCTAGTTTGTGCCCTGCCTTCCAGACCCACTGGCACAGCTGTTTGGAAGGGGCATCTGTAATATGAATAGGGTGAGAATTTCCCAAATCTTCAAGTTCTGGTTCCTTTTTAATAATTCCTTTCTTCTTCTTCTTCTTCTTTTTGAGATGGAGTTTCGCACTGTCGTGCCCTGGCTGGCGTGCAATGGCGCAATCTCGGCTCACTGCAACCTCCGCCTCCCAGGTTCAAGTGATTGTCCTGCCTCAGCCTCCCAAGCAGCTAGGATTACAGGCGCCCACCACCACGCCTGGCTAATTTTTTGTATTTTTAGTAGAGATGGGGTTTCACTATGTTGGCCAGGCTGTTCTGGAACTCCTGACCTCATGATCTGCCCGCCTCGGCCTCCCAAAGTGCTGGGATTACAGGCGTAAGCTGCCACGTGCCCAGCCTACAATTCCTTTTTTCAATCCATCTTCCTTTTTTCACATTTGACTATAAGCAGTAAGGAGAAACCAAGCCTGTCCTTCAATCAACACTATGTTTAGAAATCTCCTTAACTAAATATCCAATTTCATTGCTTGCAAGTTATACTTCCACAAAACACTAGACACAGTTCAGCCATATTCTTTGCCACTTTATAACAAGGATCACCTTTCCTCCAGTTTTCAATAACATGTTCTTCATTTCCATCCAGGATCTTAGCAGATTGTCCTTAATGCTCATATTCCTAGCAGGTACCTCAAAACTCTTCCAGCCTCTAGCCATTACCCAGTTTCAAAGCCATTTCCAAGTATTTAGGTATTTGTGTCAGCACCCCACTTCTGGTACCAAAATCTGTGTTAGTCACCTCAGGCTGCCATAAGAAAATATCACAGACTGGGTGGCTTAAACAATGGAAGTTTATTTTCTCCCAGTTCTGGAGGCTGGAAGTTCAAGATCAGGGTACCAGCTGGATTGGGGTCTAGTGTGGGTCCTTTTTCTGGCTTGCAGATAGTTGCCTTCTTACTGTGCCCTCACACAACAGGGAGAAGGGGAGAAAGAGAGGGAGAGGGAGGCGAGGAGGGAGATATACATCTATATCTTCCTCTTCTTATAAGGCCACAGCCCTATCATATTAAGGCAGCACACTTATGACCTCATTTGATTTTTTTTTTTTTTTTTTTTTTGAGATGGAGTCTCACTCTGTTGCCAAGGCTGGAGTGCAGCGGCACAATCTCGGCTCACTGCAACCTCCACCTGCCAGGCTCAAGTGATTCTCCTGCCTCAGCCTCTCTAGTAGCTGGGATTACAGGCACACGCCACTACCACCCGGCTAATTTTTGTATTTTTAGTAGAGATGGGGTTTCACCATATTGGTTAGGCTGGTCTCAAACTCCTGACCTCAAGTGATCCACCTGCCTCATCCTCCCAAAGTTCTGGGATTACAGGTGTGAGCCACTATGGCCAGCCCTCATTTGGTCTTGATTACCTCCTGAAGACCCTATCTCCAGATACAATCACATTGAAAGGGTTTCAGCATATGAATTTGGGAGGGGGTCACATTTTAGTGTATAGCAATGTCCTAATGCCATTTTTACCCCAAACTCTGAGACTGATTATCCCATCTCTAAATACAACCTTGTCTCCTCCAGATCATCCTCTCAGTTACTCCAACCCTACCTGTCTTCACCTTCACCAGGGTTTGGAGAAGTTCAACTCTTCCGTGCAACGCTTTTTCCTCACCACCCCCTTCCTGCTGCCTTCACTTCTTCTCTGACCTAGACTCCGCAGCCCACCACCTTCACAAAATCTGGTTAATATCCCAAACCCCACTGTTTTTTTTTCTTCTAATCTGCTCTGCCCCATTCTTCCAAAACCCTATCCCTAGACCCATCTTTTTCTCTTCTTCGTGCTCCTAAACTTAGGCTACCAAGCTTTGCTGGGGAAAGCACTCCAGGTGGGTGTTACTACAAATCACCGTCTGCTGACCCACTGGTACTACCTGACAGCCTTTGATATTTCCAGAGTCAATACCTGCTTTCCATTCTCCACAGCATCTAATATAAGTCATGGCTTCTCATCTGTCCTGCTTCCCCGCTTCGCGTTCACCACTGTGAGCACAACTCCAGCTGCACACGCAATGACAGCTCCTGTTGGGTTCTCTCCTCCTCATGCCTCCTCCCGTCCCTGGTTGCCACTCCTTTCCTCTGTCCCTCCACCCCTTGGGGTGGTAACAGCTTCCCACTGCTGCCAGACTCTGGGTGCCATGACACCCGTATATCCCGCTTCTCCCACACAAAGTGGGTGCCCTAAGATTCAATTCAATCCTGACACTAACAAAGTTAGCACGGATCCCATAGCCTAAGCGGCGGCTCTGTCCCACAAGACTGCCTCACCTCTGATGCCAGCCACAAGTTCCAGGTCTCCAGATGACTACCGCTTCTATTTGACTTGGCTACAAATTCAGGGGTTTCCGGCCCCACCTCAACTTCCATAATTCACTAGAATGACTCAAACTATTCAGGAAAGCACTATACTTACAATTATACTTTTATTATGAAGAATATAAAAGTATAATATAATGTACTTTCATTATAAAGAATATAAAAGTATAATATACTTTTATTAAAAAGAATATAATATATATAAAGAACAGCCAAATCACGAGATGCATAAGGCAAGGTCTGGAAAGGACCCGCGTGCAGGCGCTCTGTCCCCATGGAGTTGACATGCATGCACCATTATCCCGGTACATTGATATGTTCACCTACCTGGAAATACCCCCAAGCCTCATTTTTCAGAGTTTTTCTAGAAGTTTTATTACTTAGAGATGATTGATTAAATTATTGGCCATTGGTGACTGAACTCAGTCCCCACCCTCTTCACATCCTAGAGGTCAGTGGTGGGTCTGAAATTTCCAGCCCTTTAATCCTGTTGTTGGCTGCCCTGGCTAGCAGCCCCTCCCCTAAAGCTATCTGGGGGCCCACCAACAGTTACCTCATTAGCATAAACTCAGATGTAGTCAGAAGGGGCTTGTTATAGATAACAAAATACACTCCTATGGCTCAGGAAATCTCAAGAGTTTTAGGAGCTCTGTGCCAGGAACCGGGGGACAAAGACCAAATACACACATTTTCTTACACCGCAACCCCCAGTTGTTTCCCCTTCTCCACCTGCACCTTTTCAGACGAACCACCTGTGTGGAATTTGTTTCCCAGCAGGACGCTGGCAGACACAGCGGGCCGTCCTGCGTGCCCACACGTGGTGCCATCAGCGCAGCATTTATGGCCCCACATTGCAGCTTTCTGTGAACCTGCTCACGTTCCTCACTAAATCACGGACTCCTTGAGGCAGAAACACGTCCTGGTCACTCCTGTATCCCCACCATTCTAGCCAGGTGCCTGGCTCACAGTGGTCGGCAATGGTTTTTAAAATGGATCAGTGAGTGTTTGCATCTCTTATTCTGGGCATAAATTCATTCAGCACCTTGTATGTCAGAGACTGCTGTAGGTGCTGAACACAGAGAGAGGTGCCCCAGTCACTGCTAGGCTCTGGCACTCCTGTGCGGCACACACACCATGCTGGGGAGACAGAAGGGCCACCCACGTGGAGTTGCCTTTCTGCCACATCCTGGACATACCTTGGAGCAGCGCAAGTCTCCTTCATAGACACTGAGGCATCCATAGGACTGACTGACTCCACGGTGGCTCTGGGCTGAGGATTATCCTTACAGCTCCTGCCTCTCACATTCCAGGGACCTCTTGGCCTCTTTTCTAGGACCTGGGGAACAATGGTTTATTTGATCCTTAGCATTTTCCAGCTACTGGGAAGACTCCACCATTGGTGAGAACAGAAGCCCCACAGACTCTTCTCTCTGTCTGAGAGGTGAGGGAGTGGAGATTAGGGGTTCCAACTCCGCCTGGCTCAAATTCTGCCTCCACACTCCCCTGCACAAGTTACTTAACTCGGTTTCTACTTGCCTTAGTTTCTGCATTTATAAAATGAGGTGAGAATAATACTAATACCTCTTAGAATTGATTCAAGGAGCAAATGAACACTTACAGCCTGTCATCAATACTAATAAATATAAACTGCCATTACTTTTTCTCCTTTATAATATCCTTTATGGGGTAAAAATAAGAAGATATGTCTACATATTCATAAAGGAATGTTGGAGAGACACACTAGAAATTACTGAATAGGAGGTGGCAGAATAACTTTTCAACGTACAGATTTTTTAATCAAATTTTGTTGCATCCAACAGATTTTAAAATTTTGCCCCTGTGGGTATGTACAATCATCTGAAGCTAAACACACACACATGCACACACAACCACACACTCTGATGCCACTCACCTCTGTCCCTCCTCAGTGCACATGGGTCACAGTAGACATCTCCAGAGGCTTATTCTGTGACCTCACCATTCATCTGGGCTGAGCTAGAAGAAGAGCATTCAGATTAAAGGCCAGTGTTTGAGTCAGGGCAGAACACATCCCATTGGCAATGTCCTATTTATGTGGACTTGTATTTCCATTGACGATGACAACGGGAAACAAAGATGGAAGCAGGGCCTGGATTGAAAATGCTTTGAATACATTATATCACATTAATTCCATGGAGGCTTTCAAACCAGACTGATCAGACATTTGAAAATCATTTATCTTAAATGCGTCTCTGTAATGTACACGGGCATTAAAAATGACAGTGAATTATATTGATTTCATGTTTTACATTAAAAAACAGGAAGCATCTCAATTCATATTTGGGGTGAGGACATTTTTCTAATCCCGTCATTAGCCCTCTAAGCATTCAAAATAACATCTCATTCCAGGCTTTCAAATAGCCACTCTTTCTAAAAAGCCAGCTAATGTATGCGTTCGCAGACACAAAGACCAAAATAAATCAAGTGATGCCTGCTCTGCTACCCTTAGGTGCTGAGATATAGGGAAAGGAATGGGAACAAGGAAGCCATCGCCGGCCTCTCCAGCTCTGGAGGCTTCACAGCTTGCCTCCTCCTTCGTCTGTTGAGTCATCCCACACGCAACCACAACTATGTGGGAGATTCTGTGCCAGGCTTTGGCAACTAAGAATAATAAAAGGGGCTTCCTGTCCTCAAGGAGCTTATTCTGTAGTGACAGGGACAGCACAGTCATGTAATTATAATACAACACAGGAGCCGCCAAATGGCAGAGTGGAAAGAGAGCTGCTGGAACATGCCAAACGGGGATGCCTGGAAACCTAGGTGAATCGGCTTGTGACTATGTATTGGTTTGCTATCTTACATATTTGTCTCATCTGAGATGAAACGTAGAGGTCTGCTGTTCTATTTTCTTTGTGATCCAAGATATGCTGCTGGAGGTACAGTGCCAGGGACACTTTCATAGCAATGCATTCGTGTGCATGCAGGTATTCACTCATCAAACATTCAGTTAGTGTAAGGCCCTGTGTTAGCTTCTGCAAATACTGAAGACTGACAGGATGGTAGTTTTGGGTTTAGTCATTAAATAGGTACTGCCCTCTGGCATTATGACTCTATATCCTTGGACAACAGATTCCCATCCTGAACAGTGGTGGTGGGGGTCACCAAAGCCTAATCAATTGAAAAACAAGAGCAGGGTCCCACAGAGCCTGGGTTAGGAATCATACATTTCTGTCACCCTACACTCGCTGATTCATGCCCGTGGCAGACACTGCCACCCAATCAGGCGTTTGTCCATACAGAGACTGCGCACAGCTAAGAATCCTCTGTAATACAATATTCGCCATTCTTGGTCTCTGTTCTAAAACAATGCCACCCAAAGAGGATGCTACCCCTCCCACACTTCATAGCAGGCAAGCGACCAGTACGAAAGACGTTTGCCAAGGGATGAGGAGAGAACAGGGAATCTTCGGTTGTTTGTTAGACCACTTAGGGCGGCCTGCAACGCTGTGGCTAGGATTCCATAAGTATGCAGGGTGCTAAGGTGCCTCCACGTTTTTTTTTTTTGAGACAGAGTCTCGCTGTAACACCCAGGCTGGAGTGCAATGGTGCAATCTTTGCTCACTGCCACTTCTGCCTCCTGGGTTCAAGCGATTCTCCTGCCTCAGCCTCCTGAGTAGCTGGGATTACAGGCACACACCATCATGCCTGGCTAATTTTTGTAGTTTTAGTAGAGATGGGGTTTCACCATGTTGGCCAGGCTGGTCTTGAACTCCTGACCTCAGGTGATCTGCCCGCATCGGCCTCCCAAAGTGCTGGGATTACAGGCATGAGCCACTGCACCTGGCCGCCTCCATATTCTTTATCAGAGTTAGCCCTTTGTACAGCTCTGAGAACAGGTCACGCTTTCTCTCACAACAAGTCTGAGACCCACTATGGTCAAACGCCTTCCTAAAGGGGCAGGACAAGGATGGGTGGGGAAATTGCATGTCTGAGACCCAGCACCCATTCCAGGATGTCACAGCTTCCCAAACCGAGGGCCACAGGCTATCTGCCCTGCACTTGCCACATCAGAGTCTGTGAGGGAATGCCACATGTATTCTTCCTAAGCTGTGTTGACACCAGTTGGAGTTGTGGAATACAGGGCTCAATTCAGACTACCTCCAACTGCCTGGCATGTGTAAGACTCAGCAAACCGTGGATACACGTGATGGAATCTCCTTCTGAAGGCCCTCCCAGTGACTGAACCTTAATAAAACCCCAACCGAAGCGTGTTTGGAGGGCCACCAGCATCAGGATCAGCTGGGGAGCTTTAGCAATCCAGATTGTGGGCCTTCACACTAGATCCTGGAACCAAAAATCCAAGGGTCCTGAGACTCTGCATTTTAAAGGCCCTCCATGGTGAGGATGTGGAGACGTGGGAATGCTTGTACCCTGCTGGTGGCAATGTAAAATGGGTGCAGCCTCTGCGGAAGAAGTTTGGTGATTCCCCCAAAAATTAAACAGAGAATTGCCATATGATCCTGAAATTCCGCTTCTGGTTATATGCCCAAAAGAATTGAAAGCACGGTCTTGAGATATTGGTACACCATGTTCACAGCAGCATTATTCCCGATAGCCAAAAGGTGGAAGCAACTCAAGTACCCATCAATGATGAATGAATAAACAAAATACATACAGTGGAATATTATTCAGCCATAAAAAGAAGGAAATTCTGACACATGCTACAACATGGATGAACCACGAGGACAGGATGCTCAGTGAAATAAGACAGTCATAAAGGGGCAAACACTGTATGATTCCACTTACATGAAGTACCTAGAGTAGTCAGATTCACAGAGACAGAAGGGAAAATGATGGTTGCCAGGAAGTGGGGGAGAGGGAGAAATGAGGAGTTGCTGTTTCGTGGAAATGAAGTTTCGGTTTTGCAAGATGAAAAGAGTTCTGGAGTTGGATGGTGGTGATGGGCATTCACAGCAGCATGAATGCCCTCAGACATGCAATTTCTCCTCCCATCCTAGTCCTGCCCCTTTGGGAAGGCATTTAACCACAGTGGGTCTCAGCCTCGTTGTGGGAGAAAGCATGGGCGACAGAGTGAAACTCCGTCTCAAAACATGGTGAAATGAGCTGCACACTTCAAACGGTTAACATTGTGAATTTCTATTATATACATTTTACTACAACTTAATAATTTAAAAAAAGAAAGAAAGAAAAATAGCTCTCCAACTAATGCTTATGCCATTAAAATTTACCTGAAACTTTTTACCTCTTACCTCCTGGCACCCTAAAGTCTCTCTTTTCTTTGCTCTTTGCATTTAATGTGTCACCAAATCCTTCATTCTTAGCTTAGAGTGGTCCTTCCTTTCCCATTCCAGGCCTGCACCACGTCGTGCCTGCCATGCTCCTCTCTGGTTGGTGCCCTGCAGCCTCTGGTCTATTTCCTATTTGGCCTGCTGAGGAAGTTGGTTTGCCCGAGTACTGTCCTGATGCTCTGTACAGCAAGGCTTTCCACATCCCCCATCAGCTGTCCCTGCCCCAGCCAGTTGACTCGGTTTGTCAGAAGTCTCAACACATGCCCTCCGTCCAAGTAGGCCAGCTTCCTTGTGGTCCCCTAAGACACCATGCTCTTTCTCACCTCTGTACCTTTGCTCCCACAATCACCCACACAATGACGCTTCCCTCTTTCTGTACTCTGTCCGCTCAAGTCCCAACCCCACCTTGTCCATCTACTCCTGTACCCAGTCCTCTTCTTGGCCCTCGACTGCTGTACCTTCAGCATCCACATCAAAACACAATGAAGCACCTGGCCACTATCCTCAGCATTACTCTTGCCACCCCATAAAAGGAGGACGCTGCTTCCCTGTACAGACCGTTTTGTGTTTCTTTTGTGTCTCCTGCAGTAGCACCTAGCACAATCTTAAACTCCCAGTAGATATTCAACAGCTACTAGTTGATTGATGTGAATAGATTTCAATTTAGGCAGCTGGGCTGAGCAAAAGTCACAGTACTAATCAGTTTCCAACATGTCAGCTGTGCTCTTTTAAATCTATTTGGGGTGTGTAGTCCTGGTCTGAGATTCCTGACAGTGGCTAAGAGGTTCTGGGTCTCCACATTTGGAAAAAGGCAGCTTTCAGGGTCATTTGAGGGCAAGGCTGGGAGTGTGGCGAGCTGGGTGCAGGACTGCATGGGAAGCAGTAGAAAAGTGTGAGACAGAGGCGGTGTCGACAACAAGGACTCTGCAGGCATCTTCTGAAGAAATAGTGCTCTGTGGAAAGGCAGCTTGGATTCCTGGCTCTGAACTCGGGGGTGAGCAGGGAGATAGAAGGCTGGGCTGCTGCAGCTCAGACTGTCTCCAAGGGAAAAGAGTAAAGGTCAGGGCCAAAGACCACCCTACTCCTTGCCGCTCATGGCCACCACCTCTCACGGTTCCCACCCTCCCTCCTGCTAACGCTGCACCAATCTGGGTGAATGAAATAATCTGAAAAATCAGAGAGCTTGCCTCTGGCTAGTGAGAGCTTGACTTTCCACTTCTCCATGGGCCGATGCTCATTTATCAAATACTCACCGAGCCCCTGTGTGTGCAGGCACTCTGCAGGGCACTGGGACTGCAGGGAGCAAACCATGCAAACAGACTCCATCATGTCTGTGATGGCCGATGTGCCCGGCATCATGCTGGACACCGGAGACTCCTCAATGGAGATAGCACAGGCTTCCCAAGAAGGGACTATGGTCAGGAAGAAAGAGTTGCATGCAGGCATTTACAATATCAGGGTGGCACTCACACTGAAGAGTATTTAGAACTTGATGCTCATATGTCATATGTTTGGACAAAAATAAAATAAAACTCTTTAACAGGGGAATATTTTTGTAAATGTTTAAATTTTTTTTTTTGAAACAGAGTCTTGCTCTGTTGCCCAGGCTGTTGTAGAATGGTGTGATCTCATTTCACTGCAACCTCCACTTCCCTGGTTCAAGCGATTCTCCTGCCTAAGCCTCCCAAGTAGCTGGGACTGCAGGTGCACACCACCACGCCCAGCTAATTTTTGTATTTTTGGTAGAGATGGGGTTTCACCATGTTGGCCAGGCTGGTCTCGAACTCCTGACCTCAGGTGATCCACCCGCCTCAGCCTCCTAAAGTGCTGGGATTACAGGCATGAGCCACCATGCCTGGCTTGTTTTTATTTTATTTTTTCATATTTTATATGATGTTTAAAAAACCTTCTTCATGGTGTCATTGAAATGACTTTCTCCTATTTTACCCAATCTCAGCTTCCTGCTCTCACGGCCAACACTGGAGGCCACATATGCGAATTGTCTCATAAGCATATTTCATGATTTCCAAGCACTTAGTCTTGGAGGTGTCCCTACTGAGTCACAGTCCCCAGAGGACTGGTCTCAGAAGGCCCCTCCCATCCAGACACCCTCATTCTGCTAAGGCATTGTCAACAACTGAGAGACTCTTTCCTGTCCCTTGACAATTACAGGTGTTGCATAGGGTGAGAGCTTTTTCTCACCTTGAGAAGTGCTCAACGCATTCTTGGAAAATAAGGATTTAATACATTGCTCTGTTCTAAATAAGACTCTAGCCCATTCTCACTCCCCACCCCATACTTTCTGGCAAGGATGATCTTACAAAGCACTAAAATGACCTCATTCTGTTGTTATTTGCAGAACAAAAGACTTGTCTGTCCATAGATATTTTCCCACCATTGAAACTGGTGGTTGAAATTCCCACAATAAGGGTCACTGGGTAATAGGTGTTCCCGCTAAAATGTAAATCCATGAACTGTGGGAAGGATCCCTGAAAGCAGTCGTCGAATCCCCTGGGGAGCTTCTAAAAATGCTAAATCAGGATCTTTGGGAGGTAACCATGATGACTTTTTTCAAGCTCTCAGGGTAGTTCCAATGAGCTGCGAAGTTGAGAACAGCTGCCTTAAGCTCACAGAATCCAAGGAGCTGCTGAGAACAGTTCAATCCTTCAGGTCCACAAGTCCTGTTCAAGGGGGCAGTAGGGGCCCCAGGAGAGGTCCTGCTCCCTCACTAGTCCCAGTGGGATTCATGGACCAGCAGCACCAGCATCAGCATCCTCTGGACACTTGTTTTAGAAATAAAGACTCCTCGAGCCCACCCCAGAACAAAGAAATCAGAATCTGCATGTGCTAAGGTTTGAAAGAGACATTCCAGATGATGTCTTTCAGGGTCTGCCGTGGGTGTCTGCTGGTGGCTCGCTGTTATAGGTCCAATTGTGTCCCTCAGAATGTACATACTGAAGTCCTAACCCCCAGTACTTCAGAGTCTGACCTTATTTGGAGACAGGGTCTTTACAGAGGTAATCAGGTTAAAGTGACGTCATTAGGGTAAGCCCTGATCCAGTACGACTGGTGTCCTTATAAAAAGGGGAAATTTGGTTTTTAAATATTTTATGCTTTTAATTGACAAATAATAATTGAACATATTCACGGGGTCGGGGGTACACAGTGATGTTTCAATACATATAGTGCATAGCAGGGATCCCCAACCCCCAGGCCACGGACTGCTACTGGTCCATGGCCCGTTAGGAACCAGGCTGTAAGGGGTGAGCAGCCTGTGGGTGAGCAAGTGAGGCTTCATCTGTATTGACAGCCACGCCCCATCTTTTGCATTACTGCCTGAGCTCTGCCTCCTGCCAGATCAGCAGTAGCATCAGATTCTCGAAGGAGCATGAACCCTGTTGTGAACTGTGCATGCGAGTTACTTATGATAATCTAATGCCTGATGATCCGTCACTGTCTCCCATCAATCTAGTTGCAGGAAAACAAGCTCAGGGCTCCCACTGTTTCTACATTATGGTGAGTTGTATAATTATTTCATTATATGTCATCACAATGTAATAATAGTAGAAATAAAGTGCACAATAAATGGAATGTACTTGAATCATCCTGAAGCCATCCACCACCACCCCATCCATGGAAAAAATGTCTTCCATGAAACCAGTCCCTGCTGCCAAAAAGATTGGGGAACTGTGGTGTATAGTCATCAGATCAGGGTAATCAGCATATCTGTCAGCTCAAACATGTATTATTTCTTTGTGTTGGGAATGTTCGCTATTCTCCTTCTAGCTGTTTGAAAGTACAGAGCATTGTTAGCGATAGTCACCCTATAGTACTATGGGACAAAAGAACTTATTCCTCCTATCTAGCTGTGATTTTGAATCCTTTAATAAATCTCTCCCTAATCCTCTTTTCCCCATTCTTCTCAGCCCTGAGTATCCTTTGTTCTACTTTTTACATCTATGCGATCAACCTTTTTAAAGCTTCCATACATGAGTATGAACACGCCATGTAAAAAGGGGAAATTTGGATGCAGAGACACACGTGTAGGGAGAGTGCCATGTGGACATGAAGATGGCCACCCGCAAGCCAAGGACGGAGGCCTGGAATAGAGTCTTCCCTTGTGGGTCTCAGAAGGCATCAACTCCACCAATGCCTTCATCTTGAACTTTTTTCTCTAGAACAGCGAGACAATAATCTCTGGTGTTGAAGCTACCAGTTTGTGGTAGCTCCTGGCAGTCCCAGGAAATGAATATACTCACACTGTCTCTTCTCTATTTTACTGCCAAACTTCCTGAGAAAGGGCCAGAAGGAGCCCATCGGCCACTGTCATCCCTGATCTGCAGAGTCACTGGCAGGAGCCTATTGATGGGCTTTGCTAGGGTCAGGAGCCCAGAGGGAATTCCTCTGGCTGTGGGCAGGGTGGCGGTTGGTCACATGGCCAGCTCTCTTTGGAAGGAGGGAGAGTTTCTTCTCACAGAGGACCTCTCACCCCGAACCCAAGACTTGAGAACCCACCATGGCCAGTACACAGTATAGGGTACTGTAGGGACTACATTTGATTAAATTGTCTGTCCTGTAGACATTTGCAGACTGACTGGTGAAGGGAAAATCTTGATAACCTGATAGGTGGAGCATTCTGGGGCCATCTACCTCTCTTGTGGTATCAGCTTATAGTCCAATCTCTTCATCCCGCTAAAGATCCAGCCTTCTCTGCCCCACACCCAACTTCTTTCAAGAGCTTAATGAACCATCCATCTTTTGCTGAAGGCTGGGAGATGGAGGAAAGGGCTGCATTGCCTTACAGAGGAAACCTATGCCAACACGCCCTCCAAACTCCTCTTTCTCTTTCTCTGCAGAAATCATCCAAACCCTCTTCTTCATCTTCAGGGCCTCCATTTTATCATCCTCTCGACACCTCTTCTCACAAATTTGGCAGCTGGCCTGTGGGTCATCAAACGGAAGCCAACTGAACGGCACTGTCAGGGAGGTCCAGCCTGAGACCCCTGGAGCACCGCTGCCACTGAACAAGTTGGGTTTATCACGAGTTGCAGTGTGGGAGGACGCCCACCATGGGAGACATGGGGTGTCTCCATAGGAGGGTGTTAGGAAGGTTCCATGATAGGATTTGAGATTTGGTTGGATGATTTGGGGAGGCTGTCAAGAAGTGGAGGTCGGCTCTAGATTAGATACTGTCAGAAAGATGGGCAAGTCTGTGATTGGGTGTCTCAACAACTCTCTATAAGGAAGGGAGATGAGAACAAGACAGAGCTGTCATCAGCAAAGTGGTAGTCATTCATTTTAGCCAAAAGAAGGGCTTTAGGGGGATATTTTTGTGGGTGGCATGGTGACCTTGATTTTGGTCTATGCTTATGCCGTCACCTTGCCTCATTGTGTCATGGTTGCAGACTGGCATCTGAGATTGATATTCTGTGCTGCGGTGTATGCCCAGCTGTGAGTATCAGGCCAGTCTCTGGATGTCAGGGGTTGCAATTTGTTCATTTTCCCTGCACCACATTAAAGAAAAACCAATTCATTCAGCCAATTTCATTCACCCATTATTTTTCATGCACAGCTCTAAGCTGCAGTGAGGGGGTCTCAGTTTATCTCATGCATCCCCTGTATCAGGTGAGGGCATACAATAGGAGCTTTATAATGAAAGAGCAGGATGGATACCCATGCATTGGTTCAGCCAGCATACCTTTACCAAGGCCTCCTAAGAGCCAGGCTACCCTGGGCGTGAGCAGTTCCTGGATGAACACTACTCCATCCCTAAGATGCCAAGCTGTTTGCTACAAGTATTTGGGGTGTCGGGGTGAAGGGGTTGTATTTGTGTGTGTCTCTGTGTCTGAATCTTCTCTTATAAGGATATCAGTCTGACTGGATAAAGGTTCATCCTAATGACTTTTTTTTTGACATGAAGTCTCGCTCTGTCACCTGGGCTGGAGTTCAGTGGCATGATCTCAGCTAACTGCAACCTCCATCTCCCAGGTCCAAGCAATTCTTGTGCTCCCAAGTAGTTGGGACTACAGGCATGCACCACTACTCCTGGCTAATATTTGTATTTTTAGTAGAGACGGGGTTTTGCTATGTTGGTCAGGCTGGTCTTGAACTCCTGACCTCAAGTGATCCACCCACCTTGGCCTCCCAAAGTGTTGGGATTACAGGTGTGAGCCACTGTGCCTGGCCGAACTAATTTAATTACCCCTTGGGGTTAGGGCTTCAACACATGAATTTGGGGTGTGGAGTACAGCTTCATATCATAGATGGAGTCATACAGGAGGAGGTAAGAGTACTTTAAGGTGTCCCAGGGATAAGGTAGAGATGGGTAGGGTGCTCTGCAGGCTGCAAGGACGGAGGAGCAGGCATTGCCAAATGAGAACACAGGTCTCAGAGTTTTTGGAGGGGCAGTGATGGGCCAAGTCATCACAGATGAGTGATGACTCTCGTGGGCACAGGGGTTGGGGGAGGGCTGTGGAGAGGTGTCCTAACCACGAGAAGGGGAAATAGGTGTGTGGAGGGAAGTACAGGCGGGGCAGCTGGTGCCTCTTGTTCCCTGTAAAATTTGGGGAAGTTAACGGAACTCTGGGCTCTCCACACCCAGGTACTGCTTACCCTGTAGGAACTGCCTGTCATCCTGAGCTTTCTAAGAACGTGCCCTCCCGGCTGGGCATGGTGGCTCATGCCTGTAATCCCAGCATTTTGGGAGGCCAAGGTGGGCAGATCATGAGGTCAGGAGTTCAAGACCAGCCTGGCCAACATGGTGAAACTCCATCTGTACTAAAAATACAAAAACTAGCTGGGCATGGTGGTGCATGCCTGCAATTCCAGCTACTCGGGAGACTGAGGCAGGAGAACTGCTTGAATTGAGACCCGGGAAGCGGAGGTTGCAGTGAGCCGAGATGGCACCACTGTACTCCAGCCTGGGCTACAGAGTGAATCTTTGTCTCAAAAAAAAAAAAAAAAAAAAAAAGAAGAAGAAGAACGTGCCCTCCTGAAACTATGGAAGAAAATAAAATGTTGGTTATTCTGGGAGGATTGTGACAAACAGGCACTGAGAACTGGTTTGGCAGCTGGCCCAGGAGTGTGCCCACTCTGGATGGACCCTCTGGGGGTGTTCTGGTCTTGGCTGTTTTTATGTTTACCTCTCCACCCCCAGCCCCTTTCACAGGCTCAGATCTCAGCTCCATCCCATGCCAACTGGCTAACTGAGCAGGCGACTTCCTAAGCTCAATTTCCTCATCTGGAAAATGGGACCATGCCACCTGCTCCCAAGGGCTGCCCTAAGGAATATGTGAGGGGCTTTCGCAGCAGCTGGCTCAGCCCTCTTTCTTTTCCTTCCTCCATGATTGTGGGGGAGGCAAGGAACACACCTGAAAGAGACAAGGGACACTCAGAAGCAATCCATGCACAATCAGCTCTGCGGTACTCTTCAAGATGTGCTGACTCAGAAGCTTGTTACAGCCCAGAACATTCAAAGGGCCTCCAGTAAGCTAGAGAAGTCATTTCGTGTTTACTATAAAAAGGAACCTTGAAAGTCAGCCAGTCAACCCTCCTATTTTATGGATGAGGAAACTGAGGCCCAGGTATGCTTTGACTTGTCTCAGTCACTCAGCAAATAATTTACAGAGCTGAGAGGAGAATGCGGGTTCACATAAAAGACATTCAAACGAACAGGTTTGCTCACTCAGGGCCAGAAAGGAATCATAGAACAAACAACAAACATGTTAAAAATTTATAGATATTAGCTAATGTTTGTACATGGTCTTTACCATGTGACAGGCATTTATTCTAAGTGCTTTATCCCTATTAAGTCAGTCAGTTCTCTTTACAATCTATGAAGTAGGCAGTACTATGAAGTGCTCGCATTATTTCCCTTCTAAAGATGAGGCACCAATAAGTAATTGCCCAGGGTCACGGAGTTAGTGAGTTGTGGAGCAAGGGTTTAGATAGAGGTGGTCTTTCAGAATCTATGTTCGTCACCATTATGGTTTACTGCCTTGTAACCAGTGTAGCCAGTGGTTCTCAAAGAGTGGTCCCCAGACCAGCAGCCCTCACATCCCCTGGTGCTATGGTTTGAATAACAGTGTCCCCTGCAGAATGCATGTTGAAACTTAATCCCTAATGCAACAGTATTAAGATGTATGGCCTTTGGGAGTGATTAAGTCATGAGGGCTCCACTTTCATGAATGGGATTAGCACCCTCATAAGAGGGCTCTAGGTTAAAGAGAACTCTTGCTTGCTCTTCTGCCTTCTGCCATGTGAGAACACGGTGTACCTTCCTTTCAGAGGCTGCAGCAAGAAAACACCATCTTGGAAGGAAAGAGCTGCCCTCACCAGACACTAGTCCTGCTGGTGCCTTGGTGTTGGACTTCCCAGCCTCTGGAACCATGAGAAATAAATTTTTATTGTTTATAAATTACCCAGTCTGGGCTGGGAGTGGTGGCTCATGCCTGCAATTCCAGCACTTTGGGAGGCTGAGGCAGGTGGATCACCTGAGGTCACGAGTTCAAGACCAGTCTGACCAACATGAAGAAACCCCATCTCACTAAAAATACAAAATTAGCCGGGTGTGGTGGTACATGCCTGTAATCCCAGCTACTCGGGAGGCGGAAGCAGGAGAATCACTTGAACCTGGGAGGCAGAGGTTGCAGTGAGCCGAGATCGCGCCATTGCAGTCCAGCCTGGGCAACAAGAGCGAAACTCTGTTTCTAAATAAATAAATAAATAACCCAGTCTGTGGTATTTTGTTGCGGTAGCACACATGAACTAAAACACCTGGGAAGTTGTTAGAAATGCATTATTGGGCTGACTCAGACCTAACGGAGTGGGGCCCAGGGCTGTGTCCCCCAGGTGATTCTGATGGATGCCCAAGGTTGAGAACCACCACCTTCAGTGTTTGCCTTTCTTTCCCTCCAACCCTCAGAGAACTTTTGCTGGAAGTGGAGAAAAAGGTTAGGAAGATCCACTAGTGAAACTGGAAGTTTCCTGGAGGACACACTTGGACCACTGCTTTTGCATTTTAATGAGTATAAGAAATGATCTAAGCTGGGAAGGTGCCATATCGGTATTTCATCCATTTCTTTCTGCAGAAGTAAATTTGGGGCTTATTTATACTTTTCCTTTCCCCCCCTTGTCTAAGTACCTAGCACAGAATGGAGCATTGATAATCAATAAGCTTTTATGCGGCCCCTCAATGACTTGTGTTCCACACAAAGCTAGCCTGAATGCAATAGGTCACTGAGGGGTACAGGCTTTCTGGATGGAGACTGCAGTTTGTGCCATGATGAGCTAGTGAAACACTCAAAGCTTGGCCTGCTTTAATGCTATTTTCCTGTCCTTCTCACCCCCTGCCTTTCTCTCTCTATTCCTTCTCTCCCTCCCTAACTCACTTATTTTTCTTTCTCTTTCTGACTTTCTTTCTTTCTTTTCTTTCTTTCCCTCCCTCCTTCTTTCTCATTCTTTCTTTTTCTTTCTTTCTCTCTTCTTTCTCTTTCTCTCTTTCTTTCTCCTTCCTTCCTTCCTTCCTAACATTCCAGCTTCATTATTACCATTATTTTTGAGATGATTAAAAGAAGACACTTGACACTAATTTGGGGAATTAATCTCAAGAGCAGAGATAAAAACTTGAATCACGAAAAACAAAAGCAAAAACCCCCAAACCTGGAAAGAAAGAAAGAAGAGATCATGTGCTAACTAGTTGGCTTATCAAACATTTGACTCTTTTTTTCATCTTGACAGTCACCAGGAAAGCAAATTTGTACTGTAGAATGACCATTGCATATGAGTGAACTCTGGTGTCTACTGGGAAAACCAACACCTAAAGTGTGCAAACTTGAGTAACCAATTTGAAGGCTTATAGGGGAGTAGATGACTAACAACAAAATAGGATAAGCTGTTTCCAGCTTACAAGAGATGCCCTGGAAGTGTTAAGGGAATATGCTGAGAGGCACCATGAGATAAGAGTGAAAAATGGAGCCTTATTCAATAAACAGGGTTCAAATCAGAGGTGAGAGGGAGACCCATGAGCATAATGAAGTCTGGATGAATAGAAAATAAAATTTACTTTCTTTTACCCTGTTTATTATGTCTCTCCTTAAAATCTTCATCATTCCTTTAAGAACAGTTGATAAGACGTTAGTTGTAGCATCTTGACAAAGATAAGGATATCTGTAGAATAGCTAAGCAAATTAAACAATGTTATATTAATTTCTGGGGTAAGGGGTGGTTCTTTCTTAATTTAAAACACTTATTTACATGAATCTAACCCATTGAAATATAAAATCTTTCCAAGCAGATAGCTCATTGGGCCTACTTCCATAAATATATAAAAAAGGAAGGCTGGGCGTGGTGGCTCATGCCTGTAATCCCAGCACTTTGGGAGGCCAAAGTGGGCAGATCACGAGGTCAGGAGATGAAGACCATCCTGGCTAACACGGTGAAACCCCGTCTCTACTAAAAAAAATACAAAAAAACTAGCCAGGCGTGGTGGTGGGCACCTGTAGTCCCAGCTACTCAGGAGGCTGAGGCAGGAGAATGGTGTGAACCCAGGAGGCGGAGCTTGCAGTGAGCCGAGATGGCACCACCGCACTCTGGCCTGGGTGAAAGAGCGAGACTCCGTCTCAGGAAAAAAAAAAAAAAAAAAGAAACAAATGACTATTTGAAATTAAATCCTATCTGCTTTTTAAGGAGGAGGGACTCTCTTAAAGGATGCGTTAGAGAGTAAACACAAAATGCTGTACTGTTAAAGGAAAAACCTCCCCTTCATTTCACTGAGTCCTTTGATTTTGGATTTGTAGATGAGAGCTCAGAGCTTACTTTGGGCAGAAGGGCTAGAAGAGTTGAATAGCAGCTCTATGAGATGGCTTGAATGTTTATGTTCCCTCCAAGATACATGTAGAAACTGAATCCCTAATGCCACAGTATCAAGGAGTGGAGGCTTTAGGAAGTGATTAGACCATGAGGGTTCTAATAATGGATGGCATTAGTGCCTTATGAAAGGGCCGCAAGGAGCTAGCTGGGTTCTTCTGACATTCTGTCCCTTCTGCATGTAAGGTCACAGCCTTTGTCCCCTCTTTCAGAGGAAGCAGCATGCAAGGTACCATCTTGGAGGCAGAGACAGAGACCTCTCCAGACACCAAACCTGCTAGTGCCTTTATCTTGGACTTCCCAGCCTCCAAACTGTGAGAAATACATTTAAGATGTTTGTAAATTACACAGCATGAGGTATTTTGTTATAGCAGCATAAATGGATTAAGATATTGGTTACCAGAAGGGGGATGTTGCTACAACAAATACCTAAAAATGTGGAAGGCTGTGTGTTCGCCCTCCCCTCCTGATTCACATCTTCTGTTTTTTCTGTTTCACATCAGGGCAGTGGAGAAAGCGGAGGAGTAAGGCAGAGAACTGGTCAGGAGGCTGCCTGTGCCCCCACAACCCCCTCCATGTCTCTGAGCCACCTCAGGTGAAGCTGGAAAGCAGCAAAAGACTGAAATTGGATGAAATTAAAGACTTGATTCAGATCCAACTGGACTAGGCCAACAGATCAGGAGACAACTGGCATTGAAAAGACAGCTTATTGGCCGGGTGTGGTGGCTCACGCCTATAATCCCAGCACTTTAGGAGACCGAGGTGGGCGGATCACCTGAGGTCAGGAGTTTGAAACCAGCCCAACCTATATGGAGAAACTGCATCTCTATTAAAAAAAAAAAAAAAAAAATTAGCTGGGCGTGGTGGTGCGTGCCTCTAATCCCAGCTACTTGGGAGGCTGAGGCAAGAGAATCACTTGAACCTGAGAGGCGGAGGTTGCAGTGAGCCAAGACAGCGCCACTGCACTCCAGCCTGAGCAACAAGAGCGAAACTCTGTCTCAACAACAACAACAACAACAAAGCTTATTAATCACAGTTCCCAAGAGGAGGGGGCATACCATGCGATGGGGGCCACATGGAGAAGCACCAAGGTAAGTTGGGGGCAGAGGGAGCAGGGAAGGCATGGGTCAGAGCCTTCATGGTGGTTCTGCAGGAAGGAACAGGTCAGGCAGGGTAAGCAGGTTTAGGATTGGCCAGTTTGGAAAATTTCAGTAGGCTGTGGGCATAGGACCGCCCCTGGCTATCCGGTGCCCGCCCTGGGGTGATTGGGGCAGTGGGTGAGAGCCTGAAAATGGAGGTTGTTGGAGGTGTGAACTCTGGCTTGGTTGGTTGGTTTGTATTTGAAAAGCAAGCCCCTGAGAGGAAGCTGTTCCCCAAGGAAGGGGAGAGCAACAAGGGAAGCAGGAGGCCAAGGCACAGTGACTCGGGCATCTTACTGGGTTGTCCAGTATAAGGCATGTTCAGCATCTCCATGCAGGGCATGTGTTAAAGCATCCAGTTGGCAGAGTCTGGAAACATGGCAAACATGCAAAGCCAAATCACCTCGGGAAACCTTAGCCATAGGAGCCTGGGAGTCTGGGAAGGGTGATTTTTCAGCCTTATGGTCTCTGCCATCTAGAAAGTCTAACCAGAAGAAAATTGGAACTGACAAGGAGCAAGCCAGTCCACCATCAAGCACACACAAATCACACAGTCCACACATATAGAAAACATAGAAACACAAACATAGAAAGAAATTAGAGGTCAAGAGTAAACATTCTAGTCATTCTGATACTTTCTTGCACTGCAATGGGTCCAGGTGCAGGCCTCTCTATGGAGATCACTGTTTAAGATCAGTAATTAAAAACCACATGGCAATGCCTCTGTTAGGACACCCTTATGCACAGCAGAGGGCTTCTCTAGATGTTAAGCCGTTTGGACCCAAACACAGCTTCATAAAGTGGGCCTGCCAGGTGTTATCCCCATTTCTACATGAGGAAACTAAGGCTCAGAGAGGGTACGTTCCTAACGAGCCTGCAGCTTGAGTTCTGGTGTCTTCTTGGCCGCACACTATAGGGTTGCATGAATATTCTAGAAGTCTCTGCAAAAAAACTGTGGTCTTATATCTGGGTTTTAATAATTGCGTATATCTTTGATTCTCTTTCAACTCAAGGCTGAATGCTAAGTAAATAGGAAGAAAACTCTTTTGGAACTTCAGGTAAAATATTATCTAACGCTGTAATTCCATAACACTTCATATATTTGAAAGGCTGTGTGAAGGCAGCCTCTCCTAACTTCTTGATTTGCCTTTCCAATACTAACGAGCACATCAATGGAGGGAGGCAATTTCTGACTTCTGCCATAAAGCAGCCATGGTATCAACTTTCATTACTTCAAGGATGTCCAACCTTTTGGCTTCCCTGGGTCACACTGGAACAAGGAGAATTATCTTGGGCCACACACAAAATACACTAACACTAATGATAGTTGATGAACTAAAAAAAAAAAAAAGTTGCGAAAACATCTCGTAGTGTTTTAAGAAAGTTTACGAGTTTGTGTTGGACTGCATTCAAAGCTGTTCTGGGCTGCATGTGGCCGGTGGGCCATGGGTCAGACAAGCTTGCATTACTTTTCTCAATTCAGAGCTGTGAAAACATGTAAAATACAGAGCCTTAAAATTTTTTAAGTCATGTAAGCAAATTCTAAAATAGAAAACAGTAGAACAGGTTTGGTTCTGTGCTGGGTAGCCTGTTTCTAAACAGATCATGTGTTTTGAAAAAAAAAAATACTCCATAGAGATTTAAAAAAAACAAGTTGAAAGACACCCTGAGGGAACTCGGTGACTCAGACTGCAGACAAATAAATTACACCTTTGGTTCAGACTAATTCTGTGTGCGCTTCTAAAAAAAATATGCAAACAGATGTAAAGAGTTACTTAGGGTTTAATGGGTTTAATGTATTAATCACCATGTTGCAAAACCAGGATACTAAGCTAGCAAATTTAATTGTGGAAAGAGAATCCAATTGCAGTTTTCATTTATCAGGGAAATATTTACCTCCATTTCCATTGGATTTTTATTACACTAATGAATAGTTCTACTTCATTGAGACTTCTGTGTCACTAGAGAAATCAAAATGCTTAGTTTACTTTTCTTTTTTTTCTTTTTTTGAGACGGAGTCTCACTCTGTCGCCCAGGCTGGAGTGCAGAGGTGCGATCTCGGCTCACTGCAAGCTCCGCCTCCCGGGTTCACGCCATTCTCCTGCCTCGGCCTCCCGCGTAGCTGGGACTACAGGCGCCCGCCACCACGCCCGGCTAATTTTTTGTATTTTTAGTAGAGACGGGGTTTCACCGTGTTAGCCAGGATGGTCTCCATCTCCTGACCTCGTGATCCGCCCACCTTGGCCTCCCAAAGTGCTGGGATTACAGACGTGAGCCAACGTGCCCGGCCTACTTTTCACCATGGAATTGGAAAAGAAACATTTGGGAATCAGCTGGAAAAATGACAACTAGCCCAATGGGGAAAACCCACAGGGACTCAGCAGGTTTGTTCATGCTTCCTGTTTATGTGAAGGAGTCCCAGATCACCTCCAAAAGAAATCTGTTTTTAAAAAGGAAGGGGATCCAGTGGGGTATTCTCTGCCAGCCTCCAAAGTTATGGAGATGTGGTCAATGCCGATACAATATAAGCTTAGAATCACAGGGGCAGGAGAACAAGATCATTCTTAGTCAATTAAAAA
This sequence comes from Homo sapiens, assembly GCF_000001405.40. Taxonomy (NCBI): domain Eukaryota; kingdom Metazoa; phylum Chordata; class Mammalia; order Primates; family Hominidae; genus Homo; species Homo sapiens. The sequence goes on from NC_000006.12 coordinate 3,501,721, forward strand.
CGTATTCTCTAGATTACTAATCTTTGCTGGATTCCATGGAAGAAAACAATACTTTTCTGTGGCCTCAGAGAGCTTAGGTTTTCATCTGAGTTTACCTAGAAGATTCACCATCCTTGTAAGGGAACAGAAAGAGAGAAAGTAAAAAACAAAAGGATCTCAAGTCTGAGGTTTGACATGTGGTACTCACAGAACATTCCTTTCAGCAGCTGGTGGCCTATTCTTTCTATTGATTAAGAATGTGAAGTTTAAAAAAACAAAATATATCATTCCATTGTCCCCTGGCTTGCTAGTTTCTGATAAGCAGCCCCTTGCCTGAGACTTTGTTCCTCTGTTTAATTTTTTTTTTTATCCCCCTCTCTGTCTCTTTTTAACGATACTCTTCTTGTCACTGGTTTTCAGAAACTGGATTACAAAGTGCCCTGGTGAGGTTCTGTTTGTGTTTACACTATGCGCTTAGGCTGCTTGTTCAGTGCCTTTGATCTGTGGGTTTATAAAACTTGAAACGTTTTCAGCCAAAAAAAAAAAAAAAAGAAGAAGAAGAAGAAGAGCTTCAGGGTCAGCAAGACTCCAAATCAGGCTGAAAGCTGAGTTAGCAGTGGGATCTTAGAGAAGTTCCTCAAATGGTCTGAGTCTTGATTTTCTCATTGGTAAACTGGGGATAATAACACCAACCTTGCAGAGCAACTGTAAGGCCTAAATAAACCAGGTAAACGTGGCAAGACAGAATTCTGCAATATATTAGCCGAGTTTCTCCCCATATGCACGCTCCTTCCCAACCACAATTTCTATCACCTTTGCCCTCTGTTCTCTCAAAGTGTGTGTGGCCTTCGGGGAGGGATTTGTGGGGGATAGCTACAAAAGGGTTAACAGCTCAGCTCTTGAGCTCCAAGTAGGCTCTCCCCTTTCCTGTTCTTAAAAATGTTATTGATATGCAAATATAACACCATGCAAATATAAATACTATGCACAAATCTGAAGTGCACAGCTTGATTATGAAATATATGAATGTCTAAACTGAGAGGCCCACAGAATGCCCAACACGGTGGATGAGAAAGCACCCTCACTAAAACACACTGCTGAAATATTAAAACACTAATAACAAGACACGGTACTAAAGGCTTCCAGAGAGGAGAAGAAAAGTTCACATGCAAAGGCAAGAGAATTGGAATTTCATAGGGGCCTCTCAGAGCCATAATGGAAGCCAGAAATTCAGGGGGAAATGACTCTTATCTTACTAAATTATCCATCCAGAGAGAGGATGTCTCTCTTGTGAGGCATGATTTAAAAACATCTACTCTCATGTACCCTTTCTTCTGAGTTATTAGAGGAAAATAAAGCGGTATACCAAGAATGAGGAAGACAGGGGCTCCAGGGAACAGAGCATCCCAAAGCAGACAGAAGCACAGGCCACCTCTGGCAGAGGCATGTGGGGACCAGCACAATCTCAGTCTTCTCGGTAGGAGGACTGAAGGCTTAGGAGAGAAATATCCTGGAAAAAGATGGAATGGATCAGTTACCTGATGTGTTTGGTCATGTAGGTAGACAATAATATTCAGAAAGGTTTTATAATTCTGTTGAAGGATTAAGGAAGAATTAACAACAAACCAAGCAAACAAAAATGATTAGCTATCCAAATGATAACTATTAGTGTTACTAGATTATTAGATTCAGGGGAAAAATTAAAATTGTAAGTGAGGAATAAATGAAATCACAGTTCCTGACCATCATACTGTTAAGTGCAGACTATTGATCTAGTCAGTATTGGGAAGGTGGAGGAGGAGGGACTGCAGACTGAGGGGCTGAGAAGATGCAAGATACTAAATGCTCGTTTTCCATAGTAAGAAGTCATTGGATGATGTCTAAAATGGATAAATCAAGAAATAATATTTTAATAATATTATTTAGAATTAAGGCTGTAAATACTAGAATGGCAAAGAGTTAAAAGTGTCCGTTTTCATCACAAGGCTTGTGGTTCTCTTTGATTTTAATCATGTACATATATTTCTTTGATGATTTTAAAAAATAAGTTGTCGAGGAAAAGGAAATAGTCTTGAGAGAAAATGCTTTGGATTTGCAAGAGCATAAGCTTGAGAATCTAAAAAGGTTACCCTCTGAGGAGATAGCCATAAAGTTCATGCCATAAACAATGCATTAGAAAGAGAATCAATGGCTAGCAGCCTGATGCGCCTTTTGGATCTAGATCAATGTCTGAGACAAAGTCGGTGGAGAGGGAACCAGAGGGGTAGGTCCGGGTGTGGGTAGTGGGTGGACTCCACAGTGCCCCGCCTATCTTTCCACTTTGTAGACCAAGTTGCCTCTGGTGAGAAATGATAATTGAAGCCTCAGAAGAGTTTCAGAATTTGAGAGTCTGGGGGCCTTGTGTTTCATACCCCAGAAGTTGAATATCACAGCAAAAGGTACAGAGAAGACCTCTGCCCCTTGGTAGCAGCGGTGGGCACAAGATGGACATGTGGCCAGCGTACGGAGGGTCCCCAAGAACTCGCCTATCTCCCCTGGCCCCAAGAGGCACAGGAGAGCATTTGAACACTTCATTATCCCCTCTATTAGGTGGTTCCCAGTAGCCCCCAAATCCCATGTGACTTGAAACAATGAGGTTTTGTTTCTTGCTTCTGCTACATCTTGTGTCTGTTTCACATTGTCCTCATCCAAAGACCTAGGAAGCCAGAAAAGCCACTGCATACCCCAGACACAGGGAAAGGAAGGTGGAGGCTTACTCCTCGGTTCTCACAGGCTTCTACCTGGAAGTCACACACATACATTTCTCACCCCTTTGAAGTTAGGCGACCTTATGTCATGTTTTGGCTGATGAGATGTCTCTGCTAAAGATCTCATCAGCCCAAACATGACATAAGGTCGCCCAACTTCAAAGAGAAGTGTAATCTATGTACCCAGAAGAAGAGAGCTGGAAGTGAGCCTGAGTGAGAGCTGGTGAAGCTGTGTTCTGAGTTGGTTCCTGCTGGGGGGTTCGTGGTCTCGCTGACTTCAAGAATGGAGCTGCAGACCTTTGTGGTGTTACAGCTCTTAAAAATGGTAGGAACCCAGTGGTAGCAAGGTTTATTGCCAAGAGCGAAAAGACAAAGTTCCACAGCATGGAGGGTTATGCCAGCGGGTTGCCGCTGCTGGCTGGGGGGGAGGTGGGGGTTGGGAGAGGGGAGGGGGGGTTGGACACGGGGGGGTTGGGAGAGGGGAGGGGCGGGGCAGGGGGTGGCAAGTTTTATTCCCTTATTTGTCCCCTCCCGTGTTCCCTTTCTGTCCTGTCAGAGTGCCCTGCTTTCAATCCTCCCTGCGACTGGCTACTTTTAGGATCCTGCTGATTGGTGCGTTTTACAGAGCGCTGATTGGTGCATTTTACAGAGCAGTGATTAGTGTGTTTTACAGAGTGCTGATTGGTGCATTTTACAGAGCAGTGATTGGTGCATTTTACAGAGCACTGATTGGTGCATTTTACAATCCTCTTGCTAGCTACAGAGTAGAGTGCTGATTGGTGCGTTTTTACAGAGCACTGATTGGTGCATTTTACAATCCCCTGCTTGCTACAGAGAGTTCAATGGCATGTTTTACAATCCTAGTTACAGAGTGCTGATTGGTGTGTTTTACAATCCTCTTGTAAGACAGAAAAGTTCTCCTCACTCGACCCAGGAAGTCCAGCTGGCTTCATCTCTCAAAGCCACAGGCTCCTCCAGGCTGGGGAGAGGAAACAGAAGAACGCATAGGCTGCTGTGCAAGAGGATGCCAAGCCCTCACATTTCCTGGGAGATGCCAGTGGGGACTGATTCTAGCTCCCAAGGGTGAATCAGGAGAAGCACACCCCGGTGTGCATGGGAGCAGAGCGGGAGATGACCTCAACCAGACCCCTCTCCCAACAGCTGAATGCTGCCTGCACGTCACTCAGAACATCGACATGCGCTGGGAGAGAAGGAGTCAGCACTGGATTGGCTGCATTTCACGTGAAATGACTGTCTGGGGAGTCATTGCATTAACTTTTTTGCCTCTGAGCAGAATGGAGGCTTGAGGTAGAAATGAAATGCAGTTAAAGTGAAAATGTGGCCTTTTTGCACATTTGCGTTTTGTGCCCTGTGACACTAACCTGCTCTGTGTGTAAAACCCACAACGTAGTGGCTGGCAGGGAGAAAATGTCTTGTCTGGAGAGGTGGCCGCTAAGGCTGTTCTTCATTCCCTTTTCTACTCTAAAATTGGTTCTTGTCCCACAGCTTCCAGGCTGAGCACTCAAGATACAGTAGCCAGGTCTTTAGGGAGAGGAGATGGTGCTGGGAACATACTTCTATTGTTTGTGGCATAAAGCTGGAAAGCCCGGTGAGATGCAGTTGTCCACACCCTTGAAGCTTGGAGACCTGAGCACCCTCCTGCCCTGTGCTTTGTATCCATCACCTTGAAAAACACTTTAACCACTGACATTGCAAAAGTATCATGTGTTTGATCTCACACTCCCGAGTGAAAAAGTGATTCCTGCCTGTCTACTTTCTGAACACAGAAGGAGACATTAAGGAGTGGTGTCTCCCTTCAGGACATGGTGTGGACAACGCTGGTAGGAGGTGACCTCCAGAGGCCGAGTGACAAGAACACTGATGCAGAAGCTAGCTCTGGTCCTGTCTGCCACCGCCTGGAGGGGTGGCCCTAGGTAAACCCTGACTTCCTCTGGAGCTTGATTTGCTCATCTGCCACACCAGTGGCTTCGACTGATGGCCTCCCAAGGTCACTTCTGTTTTTAACATTTGGGTCATTTATGGCCACAGAGACCCAGGGAAAGGGAGGCAAAAGCAGAAGAGGAAACAGAAATGAGAGAGGAGAGAAGGGAAAGGAGAAACTGAAGAGAGAACAAGAAAGAGGAAAAACAGGAGAAGACAGAAGAAAAGCCAGTGCTGTATTTGTTGAGAATAAAGGACCTGCCTTGACTTTCTAAATCCTTAATGGAGGTTTATTAAATGCCAGAACCACGGCAGAGTGAAGAGGCCTAAGCAATGCATCTCAAAATAGAAGGTTCGGTATTTATTTGGAAGACAGTAATTTCATTTCCAGGGAGAATTTTCAGTAAAAAGGTTTACATGGGCCATTAAATTCTTATCTTTCAATGTATCTGCCTTAAAGCTGTAAAAATAATAACAATGTCTTGTATTTCCCATGAGCCAGCACTTTCAAAGGACATACAGTACCTAACTCAGTCCTCACAACAACATTGTGAAGTAAACACCGCTGAAATCCTGTGTATGTGTATGCACACTGACTCAGTGAGGTTGTCATTTGTCCAGCGAGGAACACCAAGATTCAAACCGAGCTCAGTTATATTCAAAGCCTGAGAGTCCCAGGGCTTTCCACTGTGTGAGCAAATCATAGGTTAATTTAGACAGTTCCTTTGACATGGACGCTTGAGTGGTTTCCAAGTTTTTAGTATCACAAACAAGGCTGCAGTGAATAATCTTGTCATGTGTCAGTTCATACTTGTCAGATATAATCCCTTGAGTGGGGTTGCTGTGTCAGAGGGAGGACCCTTGAAATTTTGATGATGATTGCCCTTAATAGGGAATGCCCCATTTTGCAATCTCACTGAGAACAGACACTGGTGCCTGCCTTTTGAGTGCCTAGCCAACAGAGGGTTTGGTCAAACTTTTGGAATTTTATCCACCTGATTAAGGAAAAGTCATCTCCTAGTGTAGTTTTGATTTTTCATGTCTCTAATTATGAATGCTTGCAAGGATTTCAGGTCATCTGCATTTCCTGTTCTGTAAACTTCCCATGACTTTTGCCCACTTTTAAAAATTAATCTGTGGTCATTCTATCTTTCATTTCTGGGAGCGCTTCGTGTGTTTTGGAGAAAAGTACTTTTCTGCGTCATGAGCTACACACATTTCCCCTAGTTTTTGTCTTTTCTGTTTGTGTTGTGCTTTGGTTTTCGTTTTCTATACAGTTTTTTTTTTTAATTTACATTCACAGTTATTACTCTTTCCTTTATGGCTTTTAGATTTTGAGACAGAGTTAAATATGCCAATCTACTCCAAGGTTATTCTATCAATCCGAGTTCTAACAGGAAGCAAATGGCACACTGGAGTTAGGATAATTCAAGAGAGGTTTATAGATAAAAGGGTGAATTACATAAGCCCTACAAAAGTTTATTGCAAGGGCGTGGGCAAGTTTTAGGGGACTCCCGGGGGTGGTCCTAAAATCAAGACATAGCAGCAACAGAGGAGTCATGACTCCTAGGCCACAGGCGACGGAGAAGTTACTGCAGCATGGAAGGAGCGAGAATTGTGTAGCCCAGGGCGCCCAGAGATGAGCAGGGCATCTATCATGAGAAATAGAGACCTGCAGGAAAAACTCAGGAAAATAAATACCCCACCTTCACCTCCCGCATTGCCTCCCCTGTCTTGTTGTGGCTCAACCTTGGCCCCACTTAGGGAGGCCTTCCAGGGTTGAAGACATGGGAGAGTGGATCTGAATTCTGGGGGTCAGGGGGAGTTGCAAGAGATGCCTTCTGGTGGTAGTTTTTCTACAGTTTTACTTTTTTGCATTTGAAACTGACCCATGAGCATTTATCTTGATGCACTATGGATATTGTGGCCATAACTGTACCTTTTCCCTAAGGGCTATCCATTGTCCCAGTGCTGTCCGTTACAAAGTCCATCTTTACACACTGATGAGAGTATCCATGTTTATCATCTATTAATTTCCCACATACATTTGGGTCTTTTTTTTTTTTTTTTGAGACAGTCTCTCTCTGTTGCCCAGGTTGAGTGCAGTGGCTCGATCCCGGGTCACTGCAACTTCTGCCTCCTGGGTTTAAGTGATTCTCCTGCCTCAGCTTCCCAAGTAGCTGGGACTACAGACGTGCGCCACCATGTCCAGCGAATTTTTGTATTTTTAGTAGAGATGAGGTTTTACCATATTGGCCAGGCTGGTCTCAAACTCCTGACCTTGTGATCCACCCACTTCGGCCTCCCAAAGTGCTGGGATTACAGGCGTGAGCCACTGTGCCTGGCCACATTTGGGTCTGTTTCTGAACTTTCTCTTCTGTTCCATTGGGCTATTCATGTGCCATTCAGTACTAATTACCGAGGCCTTATGATGAGTTTTAAAGGCTGGGGAGACCAATCCCTCCTCATTTTTCTTCTGTTTTAGAGTTTTCCTGGGCTATGCTTGCTTGTTTTTTTTTTTTTTTTTAATGCATCTGTTTGTCTACTTCTGAAGGAAGGAAACTTGCCAGGAGATTTTAAGAGATTGTGTTAAATTTGTATATTTGTTTATGGAAGACTCAAATATTTATAATATATTTGTTTTCTTCTTTAAAACAGTGATTTTTGAAGAAATCTGGCAGACATTACCTTACCAAGTAAGAGAAATTATCATTCACAACTATGGGATTAACTAGTATCAGGCACTGCTATGGTTTGAATGTATAATGGGTCCCTCCAAAATTAGTATATTGAAACCTAATCACCAAGGTGATGCTGTTAGAAGGTGAGGCCTTTGCTTAGGCCGTGAAAGTTCGGTCCTTGTGAATGGAATTAATGCCCTCATAAAAGGGCTGGAGGGAGCAAGCTGGGCTTTTTTGCCCTCTGCCCAACACATGAGGACACAGTGTTCGTCCCCTCTGGAGGACACAGCAGCAAGGAAGCAGAGGCCAAGCGCTTACCAGACACTGAAACTGCTGGTGCCTCGATCTTGGACTTCCCAAACTATGAGGTATAAATTTCTGTTCTTTATAAATTATCCAATACCAGGTATGTTGTGATGGCAACACGAATGGAGTGACACAGATGCCTCCTGACTCATGGAGACTCAGGGATTCACTGTGAACACATCACTCAAGCAGGATTCCTGCCAAAAATGTGGGCCCTGAATCTAATATAAAAGCATGTCATGCAAAATTAAATTGGGGGCCATTCTTTAAAAGAAGTGGCCTGTATTCTTCATAACTACCAGGATCTTTAAGGACAATGAAAGGCTGAAGTTCTGATGAAGGGAGATGAAGGAGACATGACTGCTCCATGCACTGTGTGGTCCCCTTTGGGTCCTGGATCAGAGAAAAAATATCCATAAAGGACATGAATATGGCAATTAAAAAAATTGAATATGCACTGTAGATTATATCACGGTATTGTCTCAATGCTAAGTTACCTAAATTTAATCATTGTACTGTGGTTATATAAGAGTTATTGTTCTTACAAAATCCATGCTGAGCTATTTAGGAGTAAGGGCATGGTGTCTGCTATTAAGTTTTAAATAGTTCAAAAAATAGTAATACACACATATGTTTAGAGAGGAGTAATAAAGCAAATGTGGCAACACTTCATAATTGGTCATCTGGGTGAAGAATATATAGGAATTCTTGATATTATTCTTGCAACTCTTCTGTAGCTATAACATTATTCATGAATAGAATTAAAACAAAAGAAAGTTTGTGTGAGTGAATAGGGAGAAGAGATGTTAAAAGATATGAACTCCTCCCTGCTTTTAGCCATTTGAGCTTGATTTCTGCTTTTTAACACATTGTCCAAAAGCCCAGAAGAATGTCAATCTATTAATTAATCCATAAAAGTCAATCTTATTTTTTATTCCCTTAATTAATCATCACTATTTTTATGACACACACAGTCACAGTCACAAGTTCCCTTCATCCTGCAGCAGGTCCAGGCAGCCAGTTTTACTGGGTGTCTGCCATGTGCTAAGCTCTTTCTTCTTACAAAGACCAAAGGTACATGCAGCAGAACAGAGCTTGCTGCTGATATACGGGTTTTCCTAGTGTCAGTGACCAGAAAATGAGGTTTGATTTTGATTTTTGAAGCTGAGAGGGACTCTCCCTAAGCCTCTTACTTGGGTTCATGCTGGCAGTGATAGGAACGACACTGGCTGCTGCTGCCAGGGCCCCACCACCATTCATAGAGTGCTCACGGTGGCCAGGCAGGTGCTGTGCTATTTGCCCGCATGACTTTGTTTTCTCAGAACAAGCTCATAGGGAGGTTCTATTCCTAACTCCACTGACAGATGTGGAAAGTGAACTAATCCTCCCCTCTTGAATGGTGGCGATGGGACAGGAAGCTGGCCGGCTGCTTCTAGAGCGCACCTCCTTGTGTGCTGTGGAATCTCTGCAATGCCCAGGGTTGCACAGTGCACCTCAGGGCTGGGGCCACGATGTGATCTCCAGCAGAATGTCAGGCTTCTAGCCACAACAAAATCGTGAGAAACACCAGTAATCCTCAGAACGGAGTCCTCTTTGCCTTACAAAGCACAGACTGATGCTCCAGAGAGCCAGTAACCTGGGTGGTGAGGAAGCCAGCCTCCAGGAGTCTGGGAGAAGGGTTGATACACAAATTATGTATGCTCCAGGAAAGGATTCACAAACAAATCCCATGGATTCAGAAGACGGAGGGTCAGTGACAAAAGGAAACAGATGCTATTTTTCAGACAAACACGGAACCACTGAGAGGTGGGAGCAGGAAGGAGCAGCGGGATGGCAAGGGTGCTGAGGGGTGATATGGTACTGAACAGGGAGAGGAAGGTGCCTCCCACCTGGGCCAGCTTTCTGGAGCCCATCTATAAATGAAGCCCTGTGTTTCCTAACTGCTCTGCTGCTGTGCTGTGTGTGTGTGTGTGTGTGTGTGTGTGTGAGAGAGAGAGAGAGAGAGAGAGAGAGAGAGAAAGAGAGAGGGAGAGGGAGAGGGATTGAGATTGAGGCTCATCTTGATTACCTAATGACGCCAGGGTCATAATTGGATTCTACTAGGTTATTAAACCCCAATCCTAGGCAGAGCCAGATTAAGGAGTGGCCAGTGGACAGCAATTGCCCAAAGTGCCACTCAACATAGGTCACTGCAATGAGCACTGTTGTGCTCCACCCAGCTCCCCTTGGCTCCCTCTCCTGGTTGCTGTGTGCCCAAGCCCCGGGGCTGTGGCTTGAATGTGTGACCCTTCCAAACCTCTTGTTGAAATTTGATCCCAATGTTGGAGGTGGGACATAATGGGAAGTGTTTGGGTCTTGGGGGTGGAGCCCTCAGGAGTAGATAATGCCCTCCCTTGGAGCAGAGCAAGTAAGTTCTTGCTCTGTTAGTTCCTGAGAGAGCTGGTTGTTAAAGGAGCCTGGTACCTCCTCCCCTCTCTTGCTTCCTCCCTGCACACGCTGGTTCCCCTTCACCTTCTGCCATGAGTGGAAGCCACCTGAGCCCTCCCCAGAAGGTGCTGGTGCTTCTTGTACAGCCTGCAGAACTGTGAGCCAAGTAAACCTTTTTATAAATTACCCAGCCTCTGGTATTCCTTTATAGCAACGCAACAATGAATGAAGACACCTAGCATCCTTGTGCTTTGCTTCTGATGGCCAGCACCTGTGTCCCAGCTGCCCTTGGGTGAGTGCAGCCACTTTGCCTCCATTCCTAGAGTTCTGAAAGTATCCAGGAATGACAGCTCCTTGAGGATGGCCCTTGGCAATGACTAATTGATGAAGGAATATGGAAGCTCAGGTTCCTTGCTATGACACAGGACAAACTCTGAGGAGGTGTAATTTTCACTCCAAATTTCTCTGCAGGATCAAGCAGAAAATGCTTTTACCACCTGGCTTGGGTGCCTACCTTTCCTGCTGTGCTGTTCCTGCCTGTTGATCAGTTTCTCCAGGAGAACTGCCTGAAGAAATTGCTTGCACGAAAATTCTGGTCTCAAAGTCTGCTTCTGAGGAGGCTGATCTCCAACACCCACTAACACAGTCCTAGAAATGTAATGGGCAAGAGAAAAGCAACATTTATCCACCTGATCATGGCTCAGAGAGATGACTCCATGTGGCTGGAGAGAATCCTTGGATATTGACTTTGGTGCAAGGGGTGAGCCCTTCCCACTCCATTAAATTGACCAAAGTGCCCTCCTAAGGAATGCAAGTCCAGTCACCTGTGGGCTTTTTGGTTTCCTGGTCAAAATACGTAAATTGAGGGCTTGAGTGGAACTGCTTGGGACAAAAGTGTGGAGTTTGAGCCTTGGCTGGAGGGGAAGGCAGGAGGAGAGCTGAGCGTGGCACTCGGCTTCTCCTCTAGATAGATACCGAATAGCATTAAATGTTATGAAAATGGCAGCTTTCTCAAAGTACCCACTGCCTCCAACTGACCCTGCTTCCTAGTGAAAATGAGGAGGGATTTTTGCTGGGCCTGCTGAAGAGGAACTAGGAAAGGAATAGGCTGCCAGGATTGGGGGTGACAGATTTAAGGCCCTGTGTGTGGCACTGAGGTGTCCTTGAAGGAGGGGAGAGGCTGCAGGGCAGGATGTTCCGGATTCCTTTCCTGGTGGCCTGGGGGATAACTGGACGGTGGAACCAGAGCTGTCTCTCCATGGATGGAGCAGGACAAGTCACACCTGAGGCCTCGGGCAGGCCATGACCATTCACCTGGCAGCCTGAGAAGCTTAAAGCTTCCAAATCAGGAGCCAGCCCCTCCGCACCAGCCACTGCCAACTCTGTCTTCTAAACCTGCGCTCTGGTGGAACTTCTGCATCATGAGCAAACCCACAGGCCACATTACCTTTGACGAGTGGGTCTAACAGTTATGCTGAAGACGTGGCTGAGCAAATTGTGCCGCGGAGAACAATGACCAGGTTTCTGACCCCTCCATCTGTGTGGATGCCAATTCTCAAGACTAGGTGTTGGCTTGCTCCAAGGGGACGTGACAAGCTGTGGACGTCCACCTGGGCTGCAGGTACACAGAAGGAGCCAGGCCTGCCCCTGTCCTGCCCTGCCGGGCTTCTCGTATATTGGAGAGTCCTGAATGTACCCTGACAGCTGCAAGAAGGCAGGCTCTGAGACCTGCTCGGTGGCAAAGAGGCAGAAAGAAAGTGCTGGTGGGGTGAAGGTGAGGATGAGAGCCACTCCTGCCAAGCAGATCGCTGGGCGAGGGGCCTGCCGCGGGGACTCAGAGGATGGGGAGGCAGAATGGTAGCATGTGTTTCGGTAGTGGTGGTAATTACAATACTCACATCAGAGGGCTGTTGTGAACATTAAGTGAGATAATTCATGCCAGGTGTTTGGAAGAGTAGCTGGCCCAGAAAAAAGGCATATTGTGTTATTATAGATGCACGTACACACACACAGAATTTTACAGACCACTTTAATTATTTAGTTACTGTAAATAATTATTTATTATAATTAATACACTATTAGATAATATATTATACAAAATATATAAAATGTATTACATTAATATATTATATGTAATTATAATTGTATGTATGATAACTACCATGCTCGGGCTGGTCTCAAATTCCTGGACTCAAGCAATCTTCCCACCTTTGCCTCCCAAAATGCTGGGATTACAGGCATGAGCCACTGCACCCGGCCTTATAATTTATTATTTATTATGAAATACACATCCAATATTATTAACCTTTATATATTATGTATTAAGTTAACAGACAAGTATTTTAAATTTGTCAAATTGAATATTACCATGTATCAATATGTTCTGTAGCATGTATAATACATAGTACACATTATTATGAGCAAGGGGCTTGTGAGATGGGAGTGTTCCAGATTTGTGGAGGCAAGAAGAGCAGTCAGTCCGCTGTGTGCACAGGGACCTGGAGTGGAGAGAAGGGTGCAGAGGAAGCTCAGGATGCCGTTGGCCGGGACTTAGCGGAGTTGGAGCTGCGTTCTGTAGACCACGGGCCACTTTCCTTCACTCAGGCAGGAGCAGGTGCTGAGTGCTTCCTAGGAGCCAGCGCTGTGCTAGATACAGGAGAGGAGGCAGGGATGACAGAGGAGGCCCCGTCCTAGTGGAGGTCTCAATCCACAAGGAGGCAGGCATTGCAGGGGTCTCACCCTGGGATGAGCATTACAGAAGGCAAGTGAGGGCCCCCCAGCACAAGGCAAGGTGGGGCCGTGGCCTGAGGCAAGAGAGGAGTCCCATCATCATCAAGCTGAGGCTCTAAAAGAAGGAGTTAGGCAGGTTAAAGGTATGGCATGGCTCTTGCACAAGAAAGACTGACACCCAAAGATGGCTCAAGGGAAGGTCAGGGGGAAGGCAGTGTTCACTGGGCGAACTGGACAATGACCTCAGCTTGGACCTGGGTAGCAGAGAGCGAGAGGGAGCAGGCTGGGGAGAGGCTGGGGTGGAGGCACCAGGGAGCCACATCCAGATGCACAAAGAGAGAGCACAGCAAGAAGCTGGGGCTGCAGACCAGAGGGCTGGGTGTCGGCCTCTCGCTGGTGATGAGACAGGCGGCTTCTGCGAAGGGCCAGGGATGATGGAGGGGAATTGGATCCTGGAGCAGGAAAGTAGGGCATGGTTAGGGGCTGATGGAGACCTGCAGTCGCATGGAAGGAAGGCAGAGTCTCAGGGCAAGGGGTGCCCAGCGAGCCTGACGCTGGGGGTGCAAGGAAGCCAAGCATCGGAGGTGACTCCAAGTTCTGGACACAGGGACGGGGAAAAAAGTGTCATTATCGAAGATGGGGTATACATCTTGGGAAAAGGCTGACTTCTATGTATGTATGTATGTATGTATGTATGTATGTATGTATATATATTTGAGATGGAGTCTTGCTCTGTCGCCAGGCTGGAGTGCAGTGGCACAATCTCGGCTTAATGCAACCTCCACCTTCCGGGTACAAGCGATTCTCCTGCCTCAGCCTCCCAAGTAGCTGGGACTACAGGCGCACACATCACGCACGCCCAGCTAATTTTTGTATTTTTAGTAGAGATGGGGTTTTACCATGTGGGCCAGGATGGTCTCGATCTCCCGACCTCATGATCCTCCCATTTTGGCCTCCCAAAGCTCTGGGATTACAGGTGTGAGCTACTGTGCCCGGCCCACTTAGTTATTTTAAGATAGGGTCTTGCTCTGTTGTCCGAGCTGGAGTGCAATGGTGCTATCATAGCTCACTGCAACCTCGACCTTCTAGGCTCAAGTGATCCTCCTGCCTCAGCCTCCTGAGTAGCTAGGACTCCAGGTGTGTGAAATCATACCCAGATAATTTTTAAATTTTTAGTAGAGATGGGTCTCACTATATTACCCCAGCTAGTCTGCAACTCCTGACCTCAAGTGGTCCTCCCACCTTGGTTTCCCAAAGTGCTGGGATTACAGGTGTGAGCCACTGTGCCAGACTTTTACTTTTAATATTTGCAATGTTAGCATCTGAAAGCTGACTAAGCTTGTTTTCCTAGTGTGAAATTCAGGATTTATAAATTCAAATAGACTTATGAAACAAATATATGATGTATAGAATTTGTCACTGCTAACTTCTAACTGAATAAATCATTGGCTTCCTTGGTAATTGTCTGTAATTAGCAAGATTATAAATCTAAATAATGTGGAAGTTCCCCCTCACCACACACACACACACACACACGTGTGCACCTGTGCATAGTGTCTAGAATTTGTTACCAAGTTGTAATATTCAGACTGCTGAGAATTATGGCAGGATTAAACAATGCTGAGAAGGCACAGGGAGTCTGCTCTGACCTGTATAGATGTTTGATCAATTAGAGCTCTGTCAGATGGAAGGGCGGATCCCAGAGGAGGGGAGCTCTCTCTCCTGGTCTGTTCAAGGTTTGACAGTGGAGATTGGGACACAGGCTGCATAAATGAGCAGACTGCCACTAAGGTGACTCAGCTTTGAGGTCACAGTCCTGTGATTTCCCAGCTTTAAAGTCAGTGCCTCGGACTCCCTATCATCTTCCCTGCTCCCCATGATCTCCCCCGCTCCCCATCGTCTCCCCCCAGTCTCCATCATCTCCCCCGCTCCCTATCATCTTCCCTGCTCCCTATCATCTCCCCCACTCTCCATCATCTCCTCTGCTCCCCATCATCTCCCCCGCTCCCCATCATCTCCCCCGCTCTCATCTCCCCACTCCCCATCATCTCCCCAACTCTTCATCATCTCCCCACTCCCCATCATCTACCCACTCTCCATCATCTCCCCCCTCCCCATCATCTCCCCGGCTCCCCATCATCTCCTTGGCTCCCCGTCATCTCCCCCACTCCCCATCATCTCCCCCACTCTCCATCATCTTCCCGCTCCCCATCATCTCCCCCACTCCCCATCATCTCCCCTGCTCCCCATCATCTCCCCTGCTCTCATCTCCCCACTCCCCATCATCTCCCCCACTCTTCGTCATCTCCCCACTCCCCATCATCTCCCCACTCTCCATCATCTCCCCCCTCCCCATCATCTCCCCGGCTCCCCGTCATCTCCCTGGCTCCCCGTCATCTCCCCCACTCCCCATCATCTCCCCCACTCTCCATCATCTCCCCCACTCTCCATCATCTCCCCCACTCTCCATCATCTCCCCACTCCCCATCATCTCCCCCACTCTCCATCATCTCCCCCGCTCCCCATCATCTCCCCCGCTCCCCAACATCTCCCCCACTCCCCATCATCAGCCCCACTCTCCATCACCTCCCCTGCTCCCCAACATCTCCCCCCCTCCCCATCATCTCCCCCGCTCTTCATCATCTCCCCACTCCCCATCATCTCCCCACTCTCCATCATCTCCCCCCTCCCCATCATCTCCCCGGCTCCCCGTCATCTCCCCCACTCCCCATCATCAGCCCCACTCTCCATCACCTCCCCCGCTCCCCAACATCTCCCCCACTCCCCATCATCTCCCCCACTCTCCATCATCTCCTTCCGCTCTCTCAACCACCTCTCTGCAGTGGTTCACTGCAGGCCAGCGGAGTGGAATTCATGGATGCTGAGGGAGCAAGTGTGTCTGCAGAGATTTCCTTGAGGTCAAAATACATGCTTTTAGGAGAAGTCACGTTGCTTTTGCAACCCAGTGTTTCACAATGCCACATTGCTCATTACCTTTTCAAAATCTCCCTGTATGAAGCTGTTATTTTTTTTTTCTGTCCTCTGCCACTGAGCTGTCATAGAAAGGCATTATGAGAGCTAATCCCTGTAATCCCCAGGGAATTGTCCGTTATGAAGCTCCGTCCAGGTCTATCTTGCTGTCTTTCCCTGGCTTACCCAGAGCACCTGCCTTGGTGTAATCCTCCATCGCTGCCACATGGAAGTGTTTTTTCCCTTCCTAAACAAGTTCCTCTTCTGGTATGGCTGTCAGTGGACCCTGACACAGCCTTTTGGAGCAAAGCACTTGACGGTGTCCAGAATTCACATGGTAGCACACAGGTTGCACTTCCAGGAGGCAAGGAGGTAGCTCTTGACCAGAACCCTGGAACTCTGCTCTCCCAGGTGACCTTGGGGAGCCATAGCCCATCTCGGGCATCCCTGTCTCCTCTTTAGAGAGAGAAATTGAACACAGTGATCTCTGAGGTCTAAGCAGCTCTAAACCTCTGTCTTGGACAGCTAGGACAGAATTTAAATGAGCATTTATTGTTTTTCACCCACCTAGTTCTTCTAGTTAGGTTACAGAATAAGGCAATTAAGCCAAACCTGGACCCGGGCAGTGCCAGCCTGGGGCTGCAGCTGTCTTTAGTGTGTAGCCTGGCTCTAGACCTGGCCCCCGAGCAGCTGCTTCTTGACACTTCCAAAGGACAGCGCTGTTCTGTGCCCCTCCCAAAGGTGGTCCTGCAGGACCCCAAGCCTATGTGAATTTCTCTCCATAACTCGCAGGGTGGCAGGGCACAGCACAGGACCCACACGCCACCTGGGGAAGAGGAAATAGGAAACTGACCACGGCAAAAATGAACAAGAGCCAAGGATACACCAAGCTGCATTTCCAGCCAGAGGGAACGTTTGGCCTGGGATGGGCTCTGTGGATGAGTCAGCACGGGAGCGGCAAACGCGGCCTGGCAGGCCCTGGGCCTGTTATGGAGAATGTTGAATGCCCTGGGGCGCAAATGAGAGAGAAGGATGGGGAAGAGAGAGAGGCTTGCACACCAGACAGAGGCAGAGAAAGAGGCAAGAGGCATATGGCCCTGATTTTCCCTGCCAAGAGCCTGATAGTAAGAGCTAAGGCCAGTCTTCAGGTGTGCACGTTGTTTTTTCACTAAACCCTGAGTCACTGCTGCTGCCCTCCAATACGCTGGAGGTGATCGGGCATGGGAGGAGCAGGGAGGATGGGGAGGTGCAAAGCTGATGGGCTATGGACCCTTCAGCACACCCGCACACAGCTGTCAGCAGCAGCACTCATTCCTTTCTGAGCCAGGCTGCGTTCATCAGCAACCACTGTGTCCTTTGCAGGGAAAGGAGCTGAGCCCAGGGAGCTGGCAGATGCTCTCCTCAGATTTTCACCAGCAGATCCCGTTGTCTAAGGACAAAATTACTATTTTGCCAGAGTATACGGCTTTAAAGCAGAGGGCTTTAAATACATTCCAGACAGAAAGAAGGAATTCATTTTCCCCTTCAGTACAGGATCAGCTCATCTGAGGACAAGTGTGCCCTCTCCTCCTCAGCTATGTCTGGAATTAATCTCCCAGAGTTAGACTGTTTGGTGCAAAAGAGAAATGAAAAAATGCAGTCCTAGGATGTTTAACTCAACAGGTGCGAGATTCTGAAGGGGTCTGGACATGTCTGCTCTGTGTAATTAGCAAGAAAATAGTCCAGTTTAGCAAGCATTTATTAAACAGAAACTGTGTGCCAGGCCAATTGCTGGAGCTTTCAAACTCACTAAGACTGACATGATCATATGCTTTCTGATGATTTTGGTGGTTTTCAGAAAGAAAGTGAATGTTGTAATTGCTTCGTTGAGCAACTGCTTAAATAGTCACTATAGCCTCTAAAAGAATAAAAATCATTACATTTAAATTTTATTTATTTTGTAAAAGACCAAAAATAAACCGAAGCTGTTGAGCCTTAAGTGAATGTTTCTTTACCACAAAGGATATTATTTCTCTAAGGGTAAGGAAAGAGATTGCAGATAACATGAACAGGTTGGGATTTTATATATGCATGCATGCACATACACATACAATATGCATCTCAATTTTAGAACAAAGCAATTGTCTCTTTCCAAAGAAAGAAGAGGATACTGGCATTCTCATGTGGCTTTCATTTCCCCTCCTCTTCGTCTCAATTTTAGTAAGTTATGTTAGAGTTGGTTGGACTGAATCCCCCAAAAAGGTTTTCTCAAATTCTAGTCCCGAGACCTGTGAATGTGGTCTTATTTGGAAAATAGGGTCTTTGCAGAAGTCCTTGAGTTAAGATGAGGTCAGGCTGGATTGAGGTGAGACCTAAATTAGTGACTGATGTTCTCATAAGAGCAAAGTTTGAACACAGATACACAGAGGAAAGAAAGCCACATGAAGACAAAGGGATGTTGGAGTGATGCAGCTACAAGCCAAGGAATGCCAAGCATTGCCAGCAACTGCTGGAAGCTGGGAGAGAGACCTGGAACAGATTCTTCCTTGGAGCCTCCAGAAGGAACCAACTCAGCCGACACCTTGATCTGCCTTCCAGCCTCCAGAGCTGTGAGACAATAAATTTCTGTTGCTTTAAAACTAGCTAGTCTGCGGTGCTTTGTTATGGCAGCCCTAGGGAACGAAAACAGACATTTTCACATTGACCAGGTTTATGTGACTGATCACATTCCGTTTGAGAGCTATAATTCTTATTGGCGTGTAACATATGTTGTATATTTCAATAGATTCATTGCTCACCACCTGTTTCCTTAGGTCTACAGTCTCCCTTTTCCTCCTCCCCACTCCCTTCCTCGCTCCCTCCTTTCCTCCCTCTGTCCCTTCCTTCCTTCTTCCCTTTCCTTGGCTATATGTTTGCATAATTGCTCAGCCATTCTTTGCATCTAACATATGCTTGGGTAGCTCTCCCCAGACATTCTGTCTGCTCTGAGTTAGAGTAATTTGACATGACTCCTTCGAGGCCAAGCTGTTTTTCTCTATGAGCAGTCTGAAGACTGTTTCCCTTTCTGTTGGCTTAGGGGATTGCAAAGATAAAAGGAAAGAATTCAGTCACTCTGATTTGATATATTTGTTGGTCTATCTGGACTTTCTTTCATGAAAGGAAATTTTGTTAAGTGTCCAGTACTAGGACCAGCTCTGTCTTGCCCAAGGGCAGACCCCATTCCCATGGGGAAACTGGAGGGTTCAGATCTCTTCCCTGATGCAACTACTTAGTCCTCACAGGGGATTCCCCAGCTCCTTGGTCAGAAGAGGAGTGAAAGAAAGCTCTCCTCTGAGCTTGGCCCTCAGGGTTTGGAGGGTCACCAGTAGGGCTTCTGGAGATGGGGAGCAGACTGCTGAAGACCCTGCTGTGCTGGGCTGGGACTCGGGCCCCGCTCCAGAATCTAATGCTTCTTTCCTTGGCTACTGATTTTTGAAATGTACTTTTTGTGGTTACGCTCTTCTACTTTGTTGTTGTTGGGAAATTCCTTATGACTGGAATTTTAGAATGCTTGAGCTGGAAGGTAGCTTAGAATCAATCTGATCCTATGTTATGTATGACACAGGAACCATGGAACTGGAGCCCAGAAACGCTCGGCCTTCCTTCAAGGAGAGGGTGAGGTGATGGGATTTATGAATGGTGCCCAGAGTGGAAGCATGGACCCTGCAGTGGGACTGCAGACCACGCGGCACCGTGCAGTGTGCTTGTGAGTCTGAGCCAGGCAAGTCTATTACATTTCATCAGATAAACACAGTTGTCAGAGCTAGCTGGGGATGCCACAGGCAGTGTCTGAAGCAGGGTCTGGAATCAGTTGGCGGCTTCAGCCTTTACCCTGAGATGATTCTATTTGTGTGAACTGTTTTCTTTATCCCAATAGGGCAGTCTTCATATTAACCCATTTCTCCATTAGTTTAACCTTCTCACTCTTCCCGTATATGCCATTTGGGGGAGGAATGTTTTTAAAACCTAATAAGGTGAGTGCCATGAGAGCCCTACTGTCATCAATATTTACCATGATTTATTCATCACAACAAACCTTCTGAGCCCACAGCCTGCTGCTCTCATCCTTGTGTTATCCTTACACAGCCTGGTAATACAGCGTGTATTAGTCTTTTCTCGCACTGCAGTAAAGAAGTACCTGAGACTGGCCATTTATTTTAAAAAAGAGGTTTAATTGGCTCACAGTTCCAAAGTCTATTCAGGAAGCATGGCTGGGGAGGCCTCAGGAAACTTACAATCATGGCAGGAGGCGAAGAGGAAGCAGGCACATCTTCCATGGCTGGAGCAGGAAAAACGGGCTGGCGAGGTGCCACACACTTTTAAACAACCAGATCTTGTGAGAAGTCGCTCACTATCACAAGAACGGCAAGGGGGAAATCCGTCCCCATGATCCAATCGTCTCCCACCAGGCCCCTCCTCCAACACTGGGGATTACAATTTGACTGGAGATTTGGGCGGGGACACAGATCCAAACCATATCACAGCATAAGGGTGTTTATCCTCTTCTTTGGTTCATACATGGGGAGTATAGAAGCACAAAAGAGGCCTATTGCTTACCAAAAGACACTCGACAACTGAACAACTCAACAGCCCAACCCAGGAATCATCTTGAGGCACCAAGAGTCCCAAGCATGTCACTTCCCTCTGCAGACTGTGCAGCCCCTCCAGCAGGCTCGTCACAGCTCATCCAAAGCTAGGAAGTAGGGCCTCTCAGTCAGAGAATGGAGCTATTCAGTATTGTCGTTTGGATGCTTATGGATTTAACATGCGTTTCCACTGACAGGATAGCAGTTACTCTTGTTTACAGTGTTTTCCAAGGAAAAAGCTTTATGACTTAAAACTCAAGTGTTTTTCTACTTGATGTCATTGCGGCCACTTCTTGCGCCCAGCCTTAGAGGAATTGCTGGATGCAGAAGCGCTGCTGTGTGCACCACACTGTGAGCTCACGCAGAGCAGAGACTTTTCTTGTTATGTTTCCCAGCCCCTGTCATTCTACCTAGAATATACTAGGTGCTCAACACATATTTGTTGAACTGACTGGATCAGTTCATTCATATTCAAAGGATAATAGTTGGATAGCACTGAACATATTCCAAACAGATTTCAAAGCCAATTCCAAAAGGAGGTTGTTTTAACAAGGGAAATGAGATAAATGAATACTGATTGTGATAAAGGCTTAACACAATCAAGGTTTGCCTTGCAATTACATCATAGTCCAGTGAGGGGCCAGGGTGGCCCTCCTCCAACAGCGATCCGGGTCTGGGCTGCTGCTGTCAGGGCACCACCCACAGGTGGTCGTCTGTGAGGTCCTCCTCGGAGTGAAATACAGATTATGAAAGTTCTAACTTCAGCTGAAAGTCTCTTGTGTCTTATACAAAAAATGCTAGATTTACCATGCAAATGTTGATTTTAAAATGACTATATTTATACTAGGTCTGGGAAGCCGAATTAAAAAGTGTCAGTGCATTCCAAACTGCCTTTATCAAGTCATTTCATTCTTTAAAAAATTTGTCACATAGCTAGACATCGAGCATGACAATGTGTGGAATGTAGAAAGCATTACCCAATGAAGTTAAGGCTCTATCTGGACAAACACATAGTTTTTTGATGAGTAAAAGGTGAGAGTCTCAGCTGGGATGAGTTAAGATTCCCACAGGAGCCTTGGGGATGGATTCTAACTGGGATCTTACTGGGTCCTGATGTGATTGGGAAGCCCCCAAAGGTGAGGACGCCAGGAAAGAACTAAAGGACCAGCAGGATTTTCTGGACAGAGCAGGCTGGGAAGGGTTTAGAAGTGGAACCCCTGTAGAGAGAATGGCATGGGGAAAGGCCTGAGGCAGAGATCATGGCAAATCCTGAGATCTGAAAGGTGGTTTATTATGGCCGGACCATGCAGGCGGAGGAGGTTGCTGGCAGAGACAGTAAGAGGTGCCTGCCAGATCCATTGGAAGGAACGTAAGCCAAGTGCTGGGACTTTACCCTCCCTCTGCAATGCCCTACCCTGTTCACTAGAGTCACATTCCTCCCTTCCTCCTCAGACTCTGTCTTGGGTCCTAACCTAGCTCTTGACCTTCTGTCTGGCACAAACGTGATCAATCATCCCAGGCAGATGTTAGCAGAGAGATACACTAACACATCTCTCCGGTGTTCAGAAAAAGACAAGCTGCCAAATATTTGCCACACATATACCTGATGAAGGATTAGCAACGAAAGGACATAAAGAATTGCTACCAGCCAATATGAAATAACTCAACAGAAAAGTTAGAGAAAGCATGGGACAAGCATTCAGAGAAGTGAGACCATGAGTGGCCAATAACACATGAAAAGATGCTCACCCCATTAGTAACCAGGAAAATGCACAGTAAACTACAAGATTCAGGGTGTTCTCTCCTCCTAGGCTATTTGCATGTTTATTAAGGGATGTTGAAGGCCAAGAGGCCTTTCTGATCCAAGGGAATGGCATTCGTATAGTGACATTTCTTGTCTTGTGTCAAGCTAGTACAGAAGATATTTTGGGCAGGATGTCCCTTACTTTTCAAATCTCATCAAGCGAGAGACACTACCTCCTTTTATGGTTAAGGAGGCAAAGGCTGCATGCTTGGCTAAACTAAGCACTTCATTCAGCTTAATCCTGGTCTCCACATAACAATTAATGCAAGGGTCCCTGGAGGCAGCATCCTAAAGCTGTCACCGTTGTGCGGTTCCAGCCTAGTTTCAGCCTCAGCTCATGCAGCCTCTTCTGATTTCTCCTCACCTGCCTCTTGCACCCCATACTTCAGTCACAGAAAACCACGTAAGCCCTCTGAACACGCCACAAAGCTTTAAGCGTCTAAACTTTAGCATATTCTCCCTGCTCTGCTTGGAATGCCCCTTCCAGCTCATCCCCTGGAAAACTACTCTTCCTTAAGACTCAACTACTATATTATCTCTTGACTCATTCTTTTCCTGATTCACCTAGGCAGTACTAGTGGGTCCCCTCCTCTGTGCTCCTATTCCACATAGAACAAAATTCTCTTCTATTATAGCATTCATCCCGTTGTATTGTAACTGTTATGTGGTTTGTTCTCTCTCCTGACTCTCAGCTGTGAACCCCTGAGGGTGGGAATTGCATCAAGGCAGCCTGATCTTTGAGGAGTGAATGAGTGAATATCCTCTGACATGAAAGTGAGCATCCGCAGATTCTCTGAATATTTTCAGGATGGTCAGATAATCAGTGAGGCAATGGGTGTCCAGGAAAAGCTTTGATTCCATTGCACAGTTAGGTCCACAACCTCTTGTCTTTCATTAACTGTGCACATTTATTCCCCACCAGTGAAGTCACAGAGATTAAGTGAAATTTTGCAGAAAAGAAAACAGCACAGAAGTGTTTGCAGCATGAGCTTCTCATTTTTACCTTTCAGGTCTCTTAGAAAGTTCTTTTACTTAAGGCACAGATTTTGGCATTGGAGAAGAGTGTTCATGTCTCTCTTACATCCTATGACATCTATAATTAAATTATAGATCCTGAACCATAGTTATTACATTTCTGAGAGAAGGAGGCAGATGGCCTTTGGTCTCACACCTGGGTTACAGGCAAAGGCATCCCCGATACTCATATTCCTACCTCTCTTCACTTTGGTGTCAGTTTCTAATGCTGGTTGTGGAGAAAGGGACAACCCACAACCAATAATGTGATGCTCCCTGCAAAGCTGCCCCTAACTCCACTGAGCATTGAGACAATCAAGATTCTCATCAGAGAGTGTTGTCCAGCAGCAGAACATTCTCCAGTGGTGGTGGTCACATTATGCAGCCGTTCTTTCAAATTCCAAGGGTATGTATAGGAGGCATGGGTGATCACTGCTGCTTGGAAATGGGGCTTCAACAACTAATGGAAAGCAGCAGACAACTGAGATTTAAGCAAGCGCTGAGAGCCTCAAGAGTGGGCAGGGCCCATGGCCAAGGTGCTATGCTGATGGGCCCCGTCCAAGAGCAAGTGGCCCCAAGAGCATCTGAGAACAGATGCACTTTTGGAAACCTCTGGCAGTGAAAGTCCTGGGTCCAAAGCCACTTTATACAAGTCTTTTGTTGTTCACTGCACAACTCTAGGGGGCACCACTCACTTTGCTATCTGGGGAACAGTGTTTCTGGGGTCATACAGTGCAAAGCCTGCAGAACCATGCAGCTTTGGACTTTTAGCGTGTCTAACTTCATCAAGGTGGACAATCTTCACCCTGCCAGCAGGACAAATTGCATTTTGATGGGGGCATATAGGCCAGACTTCTCCACACTTGGAACCAAGTGCTCAAGGAGGCAGGTGGTGAGCCCAGCAAGATCAGGCAGAGGCCTCCTGTCCTCTGGGCAGCCCAGCAAAAGCTCTGCTCCCCAGGGCCAGTCAAATGGGAGGGTGGTGATGGAGAGAATAGTCTCTGAATTAGAGACCCAAATTTGAATTCTTCCCCATGTGTTGCAGCAACAGACACCACTGCTCCCGTGTTTTACCACTTCAGTCCCCCTGTGACTACAGCCGAAGATGTGGCCATCTTGTGCCTCAAGAGTGTCCTGCAGGCCTTTTTGCTTTCTGCCCTGAAGAGGTAACGCCAGGCTGAAAGCTAGTGCAGACGTGTTCTCCTTTAGTTGCACAATTCTGGGGACGTCATGCATCTCATACAACCTTATGTTGACATCCCCTGTTTTCCTGTCCCTCATGCTTCCTGGGATCAACTCCCAAGTTACCTGCTTGTACCCAAGTCTGTCTCAGGCGCTGCTTTGGATGGAGCCCAGACTCAGAATGTTACCTCACTTGCCTGCACCTCAGTTTTCTCACCCGTGTTATGGGGGCATATGCATGGCTCACAGGTACTTTGCAGAATCCCTATGACATGGCCAACTGAGGTAATGCCTGGAAAACATCTTGCACAGGTGCGGCCATGGCAAATGCTCCACCCATGCCATCTACCACTGTTTTACTAGGAGGGCTCCAGCTGCCTGCCAAGGGGAGCATGCAGCCTTCCCTGCCACCTGACATTGCTACTCTCATGTTACACTTCTAGCACCTTTCATATTTTGATTAGCTGAGACCATTCCTAGGGAAAAACCCACTGCAAAAATAGACAGATAGCAAAATAAATAAAAACAACAACAACAAAACAAAAACAACAAAAAACCCCCAAAACACAAGCAACCTTATGGGTACTAGCTGGCACTTCAAAACTAACATTCCCCATCTCCCACAAATACACAAGAACCAACTGTAGCCTGTGTCTGCTATAAGTGGGTGATACACCGTCCTTTCAACTTGGAAAAACCTCTTCCTGAACTTAATAGTAACAGAATTGCATCTCATTCTTGTGCTTTTTGCCCACAGAGATCAAACAGGGACTTCACGATCTTTGCCTCAACAGGTCCTTGTTTCACCCCACCCTGAGCAGGTGTGTGAGAAATGGGAGTGAGAATGCCACTGTTTGCCCCCTCTGCCTGTGACATTCTTGAGCTTATTTGCTAAACAATTCCTTCTAGCCCATGCCCCCGTCACTGTGCTGCTGAAGAGGGCTGCTCACACCATGAAACAAAACTTTCCAAGGGCAGGATTCCCCGGGGGAATTTGGATATCAACCCTGGTTTCAACATGCACATTCCTGTACGTTCCATGGGCAGAGGTGGACATGCAGCTCCTGGTGCAGGGACTCGCCCAGCTTTGAGCTGTGAGTAAGCGTCCGGGCGCTGAGGTCCACTGCTCTTAACCCCCACTCAGCTGTGGGTTCACCCCGGTCTCCCCAGGCCTCCATGAGCCCCTAGCTAAGGGACTTGCCTTTAGTCTGTGGGCCTGGTGACAGCGAGACAGGTCAGGCTCTATTTTTGTTTGAATTTTTTTAAAGGTGAATTAAACCTTGCCTGGGGACCATGTAAGGTTGAATTCACCTTCAAAAAATTTTCAAACAAAAATTTTGCAGTTAGATTTCCAGGTAAGGGGATTCTCAGTGCCATTCTGGAGGCTGAAAGGGTTAATTAACGCCAAGTAGCTGAGAGATTTACTACCGAGGATCTTAGGGAGGGGATAGTTGCTAAGATTATCTAGATAATGCACACACAAGAAATCCCGAGGTAGGGGAATGAGTTAACTGGGCAAGGCCTCCTTTCCCACAGTGGAGCCCAGGCTGAGAAACATTTTTTCTCATTTTGGAGTCAGACGTTTTTGTGCTGGTGGGTGGAGTAGAGTGGGGGAGTGTCAAACTTTTCACATAAAGGGATGGATAGTAATTCTTTTAGGCTTCCTGGACCAGATGGTCTCTGTCACAATAGCAGAACTCTGCAGTCGGAGCAGGAAAGCAACCATAGACCATACGTGAGCCAATGGGCATGGCTGTGTGCCAATAAAACTTTATTTACAAAAACAGACTGTGGGCCGGATTTGGATGATGAGAGACCAAACTACAGAGGCCTATAGTTTGTTGATCTTAGATTTAGACTGTGACTTATATAGTCCTGTGCTGCATAATGATGTTTTGGTCAACAATGGACTGCATATAGGACAGTTGTCTCATAAGATTAAACATTGCACTTTTTTTTTCTTTTTGAGAGGGAGTTTCACTCTTGTTGCCCAGGCTGGAGTGCAATGTATAATCTCAGCTCACTGCAACCTCTGCCTCCTGGGTTCAAGTGATTCTTCTGCCTCAGCCTCCCAAGTAGCTGGGAATACAGGCACGCGCCACCATGCCCAGCCAATTTTGTATTTTTAGTGGAGATGGGGTTTCTCCACGTTGGTCAGGCTGGTCTTGAACTCCTGACCTCAGGTAATCTGCCCCCCCGGCCACCCAAAGTGCTGGGATTATAGGTGTGAGCCACCACACCCGGCCTTAAAACTGCACTTTTATTGTATCTTTTCTTTGTTTGGATACACAAATATTTACCATTGTGTCACAATTGCCTACAGTATTCAGTAGTGACCTGCTGTTCAGGTTTGTATTCTAGGAGCACTAGGTTGTACAATACAGCCTAGGTGTGTAATAGGTTCTACCACCTAGGCGTGAGTAAGTTCACTCTATAATGTTCACACGACAAAATTGCCTCATGACACATGTTTTAGAAGGTGTCCCCTTTGTTAAGTACATGACTGCACTCCTTCAGAAAGTTTTGAGTCTTGATACACAGCACATATTCTTAATAGGTAGTTTGCTCTCTAGGATGAGATACACAGGAATGTCATCAAAACCAAACACCCTCTCAGAAGGGCTGCAGCTCCATGGAGCTTGGATCATCGTCTTCCACTGAGCGGGGGTTATTCCAGCATTCATCATTTCCCGTGCACAACAGGCTCCCAGGTTCCTCTTCTGTTTGCCTCTGCTAGGAAATAATTCAAAGATGCTTTTCTCAGCTGGTAAGCATTCTTATTTTTCTAAATGTTATCATTTATCTTGGTGCAAGACTGCCTGAGTTCAAATTCTGGCTCTGCCATTTATTAGCGGTGTAGCCTTCCTTTGGAATTTTGCATAACCTCTCCCTTTTTCCATTTCCTCCTCTGTAAAAAGGAAAAAAATTAACAACACTTCCCCTGCGGGGGTGTAATGAGAATGAGTGAGTGGATCCAGGTGGCTGGCGCTCGGTGGTGTCTTCTGCTCACTCAATGTACATCCTTAAGGCAGGCTCCGTCTGTCTGGTTTATCACTGTATCCTCAATGCCAGGAACAACATGGTGGGGGCCACAGAGTGACTATTGGTGAACGCAGTGTCTTCTGTTGATGTGGCCACTGTCTCCATCCTCAGCCTCACCACTTTCCCCTCCTCTGCTTCCCTCCAAGTCTCCGCTTGGCCTCTTGGCCTTCTCTGTCCCTCACTGCCTGTACTCCAGGCATCCTCGCTGCCCTAAGACTGTCAATCCTAAAGAAACTTCCGTCTAGCTGAGCTAAGAAGACAAATACACATTATAATAATATACTCATTAACATGTCAAGAGCACTCCACAGTTTGCCAGATCCTTTATTTGATTTAATGTTCACAACATCCAAGTGAAGCAGGGAATTATCCCTACTTTATAGGGCTGAAGCGAAGACAGGAATGAAAATGGAACTGAGCACTCGTGGTGTACTGGACGCTGTGCGTGGCACTTAAATGAGAGTAAGCTCTTTTACACATATCACCTTACTGAATCTTCCCAAGGGTCATTCATTCTTTCAACAGATTTTCGGTGAGCACCTATTATGCTCTGAGCACTGTTATATTAATCAGGATTCTCCAGAACCTGGAGAACCCTGGGTTATCCAGACCAATAGGATAGATAGATAGGAAGAGAGATGAAAGAGGAGACTTATTATGGGAATTGGCTCAGGCAGTTATGGAGGCTGAGAAGTCCCTTGATCTACTGTCTGTAAGCTAGAGAACTGGGGACGTTTGTGGTATAAGTCAGTTAATAATTAGATAATAAATCAGTTAATAATAAGCCCTGGAGTCTGAAGGCCTGAACCAGAAGTACTGATGTCTGAGGACAAGAGAAGATGGATGTCTCAGCTCAAGCAGAGAGAAAGAGAATTAGCTCCTTCTGCCTTTTGGTTCTATCTGGGCATCCACCAGGTAGGGCGTCTATCTATGACACCCACCGATGTTGTTGAGGATGCACCTTCTTTACTCCGTGTATTGATTCAAATGCTGATCTCTTCTGGAATCACCCTCACAGGCACACCCAGAAACAGTGTTTTGCCAGCTATCTGGGCATCTCTTAGCCCAGTCAAGTGGACACTAAGATGAACAATTGTGCTAGGTGTTGGAGGTAAAATGGTGAATAAAACAGGCACGATCCTCCCTTTATGAAGCTTCTAGTCAGGTACAGTGGAGGACACAGATAAATGAAAGGCTGTCACACCACCACCTGAAAAGCCTGGGATGGGGTGGTGCGAGGCCAGACGAGCACAGAGAAGGACTTTTTACACTAGAGTTGAGAGGTCATGGAGGAGGTAGCAACAGAGCTGTGGCTGGAAGGAAGAGGGAGAGTGAGCCACGTTGTCCAGGGAGGACAGCTGGAGAGGAGAAAGGGGACCATCTGAGTGAAGAGGACGAATTTGAGAGACAGAAAAGAAGTGCCGAGGCCTGATCAACACTGATTCGATTGCACCGAATCCTCAGGCAACTGGTGAGGGATGAACTGGGCAGAGAAGAGAGGGCTTGCAGGGCCTGGGAAGCCACTGAACGGGTTTGAATTTCGTCCTAAGGGCGATGGAGAGAAGTGGCATCACTAGCTTTGCATGTGAAGAAAAATCCATCAACTTGTGCTGCAGAGACAGGACTGACAGGGCAGGGGGATGTCATCAGGGTGACTTGTGCGTCAGTTTAAGAGAGAGACGATGGTGGCCTGAGTGAGGCTGGTACCACCAGAGGTGGGGACAGAGACATGCGTTCTAGACTTACTTAGAAGCTAAAATACATGGGCACTAATAAGCCAATGTGAAAATCAGCTCTATTTTTAGATGAAGAATATGTGCATTTGAAATTGGTGAAGAGGCAGGAGTATGGCGGGGGCTAAACCTGGATTTAGGGTCAAATGGGCCCTGGGGAACCCAAGGTGGAGAGAGGGAGTGGTGACTGCAATGGAGAAATGAAGTCAGACCTCTTGGTGAGAGGAGGCAGCCAGCTGGGGATGGGTGGCGCAGAAAAACAGGCAAATGGCCAGTCTCCCCTGTTAGGGAGGGGAAGGGGCCTCTGAGGAAGCCAAGCACATGTCTTGTGGTCAAGTTCTCCTAGAAAGGGTGGTTGCTTGACAAAGATTTTCTCATCAGTGCCTTCATTTAAGTCTATGGGGACAGTTTCTGGCTGTTTGGGGACACATCTTAGATTTTATAAGGGAAGCCAGTGGGAGAATCAGATTCGCGTGATCAAACATTATGCTGCAATCAGTTGGATTGGTGCATCCCTGCAAGGAAAGAATTGTAGAGTCTTAAGAATCCTCAGAGGCCATCTGCCTCCGTTTGCACTCAGGGCATCCTCCTGCACCTCTACTACATGCTCTAAAGCCCAGGGGAAGGAAGGCTAATGATTGTTGTAATGCAAGAGTTTCAATCCTCGAGTTAGGCTCTGGCCTCTTGGGCAAAATAAAGTCAGCTGGGAGCCTGGGGGAGCTGGCCGGCCTGGGGGAGCTCGGTGTGTGTCTTGGTGCTGGTAGAGTGGGCATGTGTCAGCATTGCACCCTTCCTCATCTCCTTTGCAAAGCTAGAAACATTTGCATTTGACAGGTCCTGGGGCACTGGACCCCACTGCACAAAACTCCAAAGGAGGCCGTCGAATGTGCATGCATATAATTCCTTCTGTTCTGTGACCAGAAGCCTCGATGAGGTACCTGTCTCAGGGCACACCTGGCCCCGCTGCAGCCCCTAGGGGTTGCTACCCACTGCTTGACAACACCTTCCTTTTTAAAAAAAATTAATTGACAAATAAAGCTTGTATATATTTACGGTGTACAATGTGATGTTTTGACATATGGTATACATTGTGCACTGGCTAAATCAATCAAACTGATTAACATATGCATTACCTTATGTATTTACCATTTTTTGGTGATAAGAACACTTAAAATCTACTCTCTTGGCAGTTTTCAAGTGCACAATGTATTGTTATTCACTATAGATCAGTTGTATGTAGGTCTCCTGAACTTATGCCTCCTGTCTAACTGAAACTTCACATGCTTTGAGCAACATCTCTTCACTCCCTCCTTCCCCCAGGCCCTGGTGACTGCCCTTCTTCGATTCTCTGCCTCTATGAGTTTGACTTTTTTAGATTCCACATGTAAGTTAAATCGTGCAGTATTTGGCTTTTTAAAAATGTGGCTGTCACATTGCTTTTCTACAGGAACTGTTTGTTTACTCTTCAAGGAAAACATCAAGCAGAGTGGAAGGCAGTTTTGTTTTGCCACATCCATTCTCTTTTCTCCACGAAGTTCTCCTGCACAGGGGTTAGGTTCCAGGGAAGAAGCTCTGCCCTGGGAGCCAGGTAGGCTTCACCGTGGCCAGGAGCCATGGGATCCCTTCAGCGAGGGGCCGTTGAGAGCAGAACGGGAGCCATCACTGCTCCTCCTGGTTCTCAGGGAGAGACAGAGAAAGCCCAGGTGTGCTGTGGTGTCTGACCTTCCACTGCTCTGCCTCCTGTCCCTCAGCCCTCTTGTCACCACTGACAGACAAACAACAGAGCTTCCAGAGCCAGCCAGGGACTTTCCTATTGTACTAGCTTTCTAGGGCTGCCCTAAAAAGCACCATGGACTGGAGGCTTAGACACAGAAACCAGGATGCACCTTCAACACCTGGCTTAGAAATCTCCTCAGTTAAACATCCAAGTTCATCACATACAATGTCTGCTTTCCACAGGACAGAACATAGTTCAGCCAAGTCCTCTGTCACTTCATAACCAGGATCACCTTTCCTTCAATTTCTAGTAGCATGTTTCTCATTTCCGAAGGAGACCTCACCAGAAGAACTGTACATCCATATTTCTAGCATCATTCTCTTCATGGTATTTAGATGTTCTCTAAGAGGAGGGAAACTTTCTCTGCAGCTCTCCTCTTTTCTGTCCGAGCCCTCACCAGAACTGCCTATAATGTCCATATTTCTACCAACAATTTCTTCAAGGCAATCTGGGCTTTTCTAATTTGCACACCAAAACTCTTCCAGCTTTCACTCATTACCCACTTCCAAAGCCACTTCCACACTTTTAGGTATTTTTTATAGCAGCACTCCACAGCATGGTAGCAAAATATGTGTTAGTCTGCTAGGGATGCCATAACAAATACCACAGAATAGGTGGCTTATGCAATAGAATTGTATTTTCTTACAGTGCTGGAAGCTGAAAGTCCGAGATCAGGGCATCAGCAGGGTTGGCTCCCTTCAAGGCCGCTCTCCTCGGCTTGCAAATGCTGTCTTCTCCCTGTCTTCATGTGGTCATCTGTCTGTGTGCATTTTTGCCCCAATCTCCTCTTCTTAGGAGGACACCAGTCATATTGGATTAAGCCCCATCCTAATGACCTCATTTTACCCCTAAAGGACCTATCCCCCAATACAGTCTCATTCTGAGGTACTAAGGATGAGGGCTTCAACATATGAATTTTGGGGACACAATTCAACCTGTGATATCCACTGTGCATTGTCTCTTTTGCACAGTGTGCCTGGATGCCTCTCTGACTTACGTGTCTCATACAGTTGCCTGTGCCACAGCTGGCTGTTCCCAGAACAAACAGATGGAGACAGGCTACACAGGAATTGGGACTGCCTTTCCAAATGCATGATGCCTTACAGGTGGGTGGGCCTATAGTCATGACTGCCCCCAGGAAGAGCCACACCTGAGCTATTACAGACTCATGTTTATTGAACCTTTCAACAAAAAACTGTCTCCAGGAATCCAGGAACACAGCCCATGTTGACCATGGTGTGATGGAGTGGAAGAGATGGGGTTTTAAATCAACTGGATTTGGTTCTCAGTTCTGCCTCTTATGGGGCCTGCAATGCTGGCCAAACCATGTTGCATCTCTGCAGTGCAATTTTTCCATCTCTAATGGTTTATTTCATGTGTCACCTTGACTCAGCCATAAGGTGCTCAGATAATTGGTCAAACATTATTCCGGGTGTGTCTGTGAAGGTGTTTCTGGATAAGGTTACATTTGAACTGGTGGACTGAGTAAAGCAGGTGACCCTCTGCAACGTGAGTGAGTCTCATCCAATCCATTCACGGCCTAATAGAATGAAGACCTGACTCTTTCACGAGTAAGAGAGAATTCTTCCTGACTGGCAACCTTCGAACTGAGACATCATCTTTTTCCTGCCTGCAGACTTGGAGTGAAACATTCACTCTTCCCGGGTCTGGAGCCTGCTAGTCTTTGGACTGGAAATACCCCATCATTTCTCCTGGGTCTCAGGCCATCAGACTTGGACTGGAACTGACACCATCAGCTCTCCTGGGTCTTTAGGATCCAACTCATCCCACAGATCTTGGGAATTGTCAGCTTCCATAACCATATGAGCCAATTCCTTATATGTATTGTATAAATCATATATCTACATATTCATATACACACATTATATGCATACACACACACACACCTTATTAGTTCTGTTTCTCTGGAGAACCATGACAAATATATCATCTTCATAAGTATAATAAAATACCTCTCCTATCCATTCCCTGTGGCTATTTTTGCAGTCAAATGAGGTGCTCTGAAAACTGTGACGTGCTATTCCAATGACGGTTATCACCACTGTTGTTCATGTCAACAGTGACCTCTGAATTGCTCATACCAAGGTCAATTTCCAATACTCATCTTCCTGAGCAGTAGCATCTGACACAATGAATCATCCTCCTCCGTAAACCCTCCCCTGCCTCCCCGGACACCCCACCCTCCTGGCTGTCCCCCTTGCCCTCTGCTTGTGCCTTCTCTGGTCCCTTGCCTACTTTCTCCTCATTTCCTGGTCTTCTAAATATTGGAGCACCCCATGTTCTGTCCTTGGATCCTTTGTTTCTCCATCTATACTTACTCACTTGGTGGTGTCAGTGAGTCTCTTAGATTTGATCATTGTGGCTCCCCAAGGAACAGACTCTGAAAAGGACATTTGCATGTAGGAGGCTTACTGGGGACAGCTGTCAGGATCCAAGCCTGCTACACAGGTAGGATGAGGGCTAGACACTGACTAGGCAAAAGCTGAGCTGTGTTATCCTTGCAACAAAATGATTAGTTTTCACTGGGAACTCTACAGCTGGGATGGTCCTTGTCATACTTGGAGGAAAGGCCCTGGGCTCTTCTGTGTCCAGTCATTGGGTGTGGCCATCTGGGAAGGGTCATGGTCTCAGGCCATTGTCTTCACCTGAGGGCACATCTAGGAGAGGGTTCAGCTGAGAGCCATCAGCCCTGACACTCCTGCAGCCGGGAAAGTGAGCACTTCTGCTCTCAAGGGGAATTTGGTTAAGAAAGATTATGAATCTGAAGCATGGGAAATCAATTCTTGCTGTCAGATGACAAGATTTGAACATAACCCTGGCTTCAAAGCAGGCAAAGCTTTAGAGGTTTCATAAGTTAATTTATTTTATTTTAAGTATTCTGAGGGATGAAGTTTGGCAAAGTCACAGAAGATAAATCTAGTAGCACCGCGTTTTTCCCGGCTTCCATAATCATTATGGGCTTACTCCCTTTGGTCATGTCAGATCCCAGTTTTATCAGCAGACAGCACATATTTACCCAAACTGTATAGTCTTCATTTTGTTTTACTTAAAAATAATTAGGGCTTCATAGAACCAGCTCTAACTCTTTCCCTTTGCAGCAAGGACTTGCAGAGGCAATTGGATTTTGGAGGTGTGTTAGTGTCGTGCCGTAAGCTTCTTGCTAAAGTGCAGATCTTAGTAAAGGACGCTGGCGTTTCTATTGCAGCGCTATGATTCAGTCCCTCTGGGCAGAGCTGGGAGAGGTAAGCTCCCCTCGCTAATCGTTAATCATCTTATCGAATCTTAGCAGTCATTCAGAAATTATGACAGCTACGTTCATTCTGACAAAGTCCTAAGGGCAGAGAAGGGATTTTTTTCAGCTTTGATTTCATAGGAGTGAATGAGGCTCTCAGGGCGAACAATTTCTTTTATGATGATTCTAATCCTGGAAGAAAAACCAAGCTGCTGTTTCTAGTGTAGAGACTCAAGCTTTGAAGCTCAGTTCTCCCACTTTGTTGGCTCTTCCCCCATGCACGGGGAAGATGCATCTGCCGGATCTGGGGGAGCCGGCTGCGACACGGGGCCGTTCTGCTTTTGCAGTACCCTGAGAGGACATGCTCAGCAGCTCTGTGGGAGCCCCCTTGGAATGAGGCACCGGTGGAAAGTGTGCGGCCTCGCTCTGTCACCAGACAGTTTCTGATCTGGGAGAATCATGCTATATGCTTACCACCTCCATCACCATTTCTCTCAGATAAAACTGATTGAAAAATAGACAATAAGAAAAGACTTGGAGGGGTAATTGAAGTATTACAAACTTTCTCCTCTTTAGTCTGGAATGTCCACAAACGTATATGCCCACCATCACAGTCCCCAGAAACTGTCCAGCCTTCCAAAGAGCCACAAAAGACCCAGCAAAGTCTACATAACCAGCGGCCATGTTGTACTTCTCAGGGTGGGAAGAAGAAACCATATTTCAAGTGGCATGATACTAAGAGATTGCAATTTATTCATCAGAATAAAAGGCCCATGTTGTCATGTCAAGAGAAAGTTGGCCCCATTTAAGTTTGGAAGTGACGTTAGGGAAAAGAGATTCTAGTTTGGATTCTTGGGTTAGAACAAGTGAAAATTGCCCTCATATCCTCTCACTCTACTGTTAATCTAATCTCACTGGTTCATTGAGGCATAACTGAGGATCTTACTAGGGACCCAAAGCTGGAAATTAAATATTTATTTTCCATGGAGGCACATACATTCCGGTGCTCGACCATCTGGGTCGAGCTCTGCCACCTGCTAGCTGAGGGACCTTAAGGCAAGTTAATAAACCTCTCGGTGCCTCAGGCTCCCCCTCTCTAATATGGGAATAGTGGTGGTTTCCAGCTTGGAAAGTTGTCTGAGTATTTAATGAGCTGGTGGATGCTGAGTCCTGAGGGCCTGGCACGTGGCAGAGTCCACAAGGTTAGCTATTATTATGATTTCCTGCTTATCTGAATGAGGAGTTATCCCAGGATCAGGGAGTTTGTTAAGACATAAGGAGGGGAACATCACACACGGGGGCCTGTCGGGGGGTGGGGGACAAGGAGAGGGAGAGCATTAGGACAAACACCTAATGCATGCGGGGCTTAAAACCCAAATGATGGGTTGATAGGTGCAGGAAACCACCATGGCCCGTGTATACCTATGTAACAAACCTGCACGTTCTACAGATGTATCCCAGAACTTAAAGTAAAATTAAAAAAAAAAGATATCACACCCAATGCAGACAATAGTTCTAAAATAAGACCATGCCTTTCAGCTGATAGGTTACCTTAATGACATTTTCATATTTTCAATGTAGGACTTTTACAACTGTTATCAAAAAAAGGGGCTCCTGAGCTCTGGCTGTCACCATGGACGGGGGTGATGCATAATGTCCAGCAGGTGCTTCAGAAGGGGGGCTGTGCTGTGGAACCCAGGGCCCCGTGCCAGCTCCCCCACAGTGCTTTCTGTGTCAGGAGAACTTGGCTCTGCATGGACTGGACAAGCACAGGTGGCCTGGATGGACCCTTTCTTATCTCAGGCCTTGGTCTTCGCTCCTCTTCAGGCCTTATCACAAAGGCAGGAGCGGGACATGTGTTCCTCATTCTTACTACAGGCTTGTGTACAAGCTATTGGTGCACAAGTCTTCTCTGGCTTCTCGGAGGACATAGATGGATTTCCCATCTCCCCAGTGGCTAACCCTTGGCTTTGGGACGATATCTAGAGGAGTGCAGAGGAGGATACATTAAAGAGCGCTCTGGCATACAACAGGAGATCAATAAATTGACATCACATAAAGAAAGCATTCAAAGTGGATGAAAAAGTCAGTGAGACACTCAGAGGTGGAGCTGTCCCCAGACCCCGTCTGAAATGGCTACCTGGTGACATGGTCCTAGAGAGGTGTCTGTGGGCTTTTGAACAAGCATTAAAAATCCCACGTTTCGGATGACCTCCAGGATCCTACCTGAGAGTGTGTTAAGGGCCCCCAGCCCCAGGGGCAGCTCTGAGGGTGCAGCATGGCTGGGATGAGAAGACTGGGGTTCAGGGAGGCATGCTCGTGTGCTTATGACCCACATTCACATGGAAGAAGAAGGTGAAGTCCTAGCAGGGCATTTGTTTCCCTTTCTCCTGGAGTGACGTATTCACAAAGGGTCTGCGATGAGCAGGGAGGGTGCGTGGGGGTGTGCCAGCCTTGTCACTGTGCTCTAGTGGTTGTGGCTGGCCACTCCACCTGCACTCGCCCTCTGTGCATACATTTGCTTGTGGTATAACCTGAAGGAATATCAGACCCTCTGCTCTTAGGAGCAGATGCTTTCCCTTTGGGTTTACTTCTGATTCCCAGGTTCAGTGACAGCTCTCAGGAAGCCATGCCAACAGGGACACACACCACTCCAAAGCAGGGCATGGCCCCCAACAGGAATGACAGACAAGGGCTACAGGGACAGGGTGAAGTCAGCCAGGAAACCGACATTTCCATGGACACAGAGCCCAGATGGAGCACCATCTTATCTTTGCTATTTCAGGCCGGTATTTTCAGGAAGTAAAGTGTACAAATTATGGACAAAGGCTGCAGGTGTGCAGCCATAGGGCAGAGAAAGGATCTCCACTCTGGTGTGGAAAGGAAATCACATTGTTTGACAAGGGTTAGATCAGAGAGAGGCAGATATGTGCCTCAGCCCCGCTTGCATTCCTAGTCATGGTTTACTCCACAGGAGCAATATGGATTCATCCCAGGAACGCTCGTTTTCTTCGTTCTTTGTTGTAACAGGAGCATTATTGTGAGTGGGGTGAGGGGAGTTCAGAGACTTCACAGTTCTGCACCAAATCTCTGCCCCGTTATCTAAAACCTTTGCAATGGTGGGGAAGTTGCTCAACTTCTCTGTTCCTCATGGTTTTATTTGAAAAGCGAGGATAGAAATATTCTCTCTGTGGGTGGGGTTTATACCTCAATAAAGCTGTTTAAATGAGTAAAATAAAATCCACCTTAAAAAAAATGAGCCGTGTTTTGTGAGAGTACCTACCTAGCGTGATGCTTGGGATGCAGAAGGAACTAGATCTACTTTGGCTCAGCTATTGATGGTAATTTTTTGTTGCCTCTTTTGCCGTTGGATGCAAACTTCTTCTGGGAGTTTGCTTCCTTCTCTTCCTTCCCATTTCCCTCTTATTCATTTTTCTCCTACCTCCTCCCCTGGAGGAAGCCAGAATATCTTAGTCCTGAGGAGCTCTAGTCCACTGGAGAGGTGGGTGACGCAAGCTCACTTTCACTCTGCATGATCCCTGGGGATCTCAAGGTCTGGAGTGGGTCCGAGTTGAAAGGAAGATCTGCAGATGTCAAGCCCAACAACAAGGCCTGCTGACAGGAAGGGCGAGGGGAGACAGTCAGGAAGCCTGGAGTGGCCTGTTCATTTATTTCTATCCCCTACCCAAATATCTTTTAAATAATGCTTCTCCCCGAGTGAATTTGCCAGGAGTGAACTATTGGGGGGATGAAATGTGCAGTAATACTGTCTCATTGCTTTCCATAGCCATTACCTGCCAATTCAGGATGTTTGATAGGTCTTAGGCAAAGAAAGAAAAACAAAAGTCTCTTGCGACCATTGGACAGCCACTGACAGAAGAACTAGGAACTGAATGTGAGTTGGTAATTAAAGGGCCCAGAAAGAGGGAAAACTCAAAGGACTCCAGGGAGTATGGAGTTGGGATTTCATGAAAGAGAGAAACTGTCTTTCCAAATGTTTGCCAGGGGCTGCTTTTTATACCTCTCCATTCCCTGATTTGAAAAAGCATAAGGTGTACAAAAGAGAAGGGAAAATATCCCTGCCCAGTGTGCCTTGGGCCTCACTCCCCTGTGTCCAGTCCCTCTTCCCAGGAGTAAAGCTTTGGGAATCTTATTAGACTTTTTACTCAGACTACAACTCAGAAGCGCAGAGAAACATGTAGATTCTTTGCTCTATCGACATCTAATTTTGTCGTCCTACTGAGCCCTACCCACTGCTTAGCAGGGGAAACATTTCTAATGATGCTATATTTTTAATTAAAAAATTATTTAAGTTAATGTCTAATGTGGCCCAAATTTTGATCTGAAAATGTAAACAATTTCTTCAGGTAATTTTCACTTTCTTAAGGCAAAACATGCCCAGACTTATGAATTGCCTTCCCCTCCCCATTTCTGCTGGCTGGGTGGAAAAGCAGGGGCAGTTAATGACCTCTTGCAAGACAGAAGGCCTGGCACTCTTGGGCTGTGTCCCCATGTGCCTGCTGGCCACTTCCCCCTGGCATCTGCAGCAGGCACCTGGAGTGTCACTCACAGCTTGGTCCTCCCCTGGCTTGTGCAGAGCCTAGGAGAGGCTTCCCCTGGCAGAGGAGAGCTCATCTCAGCACCACCGTCTGCAGACCCCCAAACCTCTCTCTATCTTGTCCACCATCCATGCCCCTCACCTGGAATCCCCACATCCCGCCATAGTAGGCCTGTGGCCGGCCAGTGCATGTCCACCCAGTGTCAATGCCGCATGACGCTGAGGCCAACCCAGGGCTGCCCTTGCCTGTGTGGCTGTGCCCCCCGGGTTGACATGGCCACTCCTGAGGCTGGGGAGTGAGCACTTCTTTTTTCTTTTTTGAGACAGAGTCCCGCTCTGTCGCCCAGGCTGGAGTGCAATGGCACGATCTCGGCTCACTGCAACCTCCGCTTCCCTGGTTCAAGCGATTCTCTTGCCTCAGCCTCGTGAGTAGCTGGGATTACAGGCGCCTGCCACCACGCCTGGCTAATTTTTGTATTTTTTTTTAATAGAGACGGGGTTTCATCATGTTGACCAGGCTGGTCCTGAACTCCTGACCTCAGGTTATCCACCCACCTTGGCCTCCCAAACTGCTAGGATTACAGGCATGAGCCACTGCGCCCAGCCGGGAGGGAGCACTTTGCAAAGTCCTGGAGAGGCAGCAGAGGAAGAAGCCTGCTGTAAAAGTGTCACTTTCATTTAGTGAATGTGCTTCTACCGCTCTGGGCTCAAGCCAAGAAAGGAGAAAAATAAGACCTGGACTTCTGACCCAGAGGCCCTTCTCTCTTCCTTTCCTGTCCTCCGCTCCTCTCTCCTACCTCAAACCACCGTTTGCTGAATTGCAAGTCTCCTGGTTTAGCTGACAGAGGGACTAAAGGAAAGACGCCTCTTCTCTCCAACACAAGAGAGCCCTCAGGGGGATAAAAACCTCTGGAGCATTCTCTTTCAAGACAATAACCCAGCTTACAAATTATCTTACTGATTAGGCTTATTCTGCGTGACTATTTGTTTGACGAGAGTTAGATCAGAGAGAGGCAGATACGTGCCTAGGCCCTGCTTGCATTCCTAGCCATTCCTATCTTTTCTCTTTGTATTCTTCCTGCAGCAAACCCAGATCTTGTCTAGGGATGGGATGCTAATGGTTTATGTACTTAGGCAAAAGTGAAAAATTCATCAAGAATATTTCAGATATAATCCTGGTAGCTGTGTGTGTGAATGTATGAGTGTAAATACGTAACACTTTAAAACAACAGACTTACTCTAGACGTAAGTTCTGCAACTTGCTTTCTTCACTGAATAAGTCTTTCCCATCTTTCCATATAGGTACTTGTAGACCGGCTTCTTTTTAATGGCTTCATGCTAATCCTTCGTAAGGACACAATATACTTTATTTAACCCCTTTCCTTTAATTTTGGATGTTTCTAGTTTTTCTTTTTTTTCTTTTTTCCTACCAAGAACAATGATGGTGAGGCTATGCTGGTGCATTCATGTGTTGCTTCCTGCCTAACTCCCCAAATGCAAAGAGAGTAGGCGCCTTATCTGCCTTTGTCACCACCTGCCTGGAACAGAACATACAAACAGATGAACAGAAGTGGATGAACAAACACAGTAAATGGATTCATCCTAATGGATGGAAGGGTTTATCTTTTTGTTCTCATGCACATTTCTGCAGAATACATTTCTAGAGGAGGAGCCATAGAGTCAAGGGCTCTGGATCCTTACATTTTACCGTGTGTCACCACACTGGGCTCCAAGCCTGTGGTACTGATTCACCTGTCCTCCAGTGGGTGGAGTACCTAGAGAGCCTGCAGCAGGGCTGTGTGCAGGTGGCTTTGGGAAACAATTCCAGGGAACGGGAGTGTGAGAGAAGGAAGGTAGTCAGAGGCAGAGGGGAAGCCAGTTCAGGGGAGAGTTACCAAGCTGATCCCCACTGAGGGCATGGAGAGCTCCTTCCCCCAGAGACCTTCTGAGGCACTGTGTAGAATGTGCCTCAGCATTTTCCCCTGGGCCACGCACAGGAAGAACATGTGCGTCCACCTTCTGAACCTCAGCAGTCAGAGATCCCTGGACATAGGTCAACAGCTTGCAGCCGACCCTGGGGCGCCCTGGTTTATAAAGCAGTGAGGTGGACCCTAGCTGTGTAGACTCCCCTTAGCAGACTCTACTGAAAGCCCAGCACTGGCAAGAGGGGGCAACTCTACTTTTGCTCAGCTATTGATAGTGATTTTTTGTTGCCTCTTTTGCTGTTGGATGCAAACTTCTTCCTGGAGGAATCGCCAAGGGAGGAGGGTGGAGCCCCCACCCCACGTGCTGAACACACAGTGTGTGTGTGTGTTTCTGGGGATCTATCTGTGGATTTCTCTCTCACCACCAACCTTGATGCCACCCACACCATCCCGTGGAGTGACAGCTGAGGTAAAGGTGAAGCTCTAAAGTAGCCCATAGGGCCGAGATTGCATGTAGATTAATTGCAGTTGAAAAATCCCCCAGACTGACCATAGAGCACAGTGGATGGAATGCTGGACTCAGTGAGGCCTGCGGAGACCATTTTCCCTCCATCATTGGATTTAATCTGTTTTTCCACTTCAGTACTTGGGAGCGGAGGGTTGTTTTCTTCAGGGGCGGTGTTGTATAAAATATACGTATTTAACATTAGACCTACACTCGGTTCGGTGAGTGTCTCATACCACGCAAAACCCGGCAACCAAGGCTTGCAGGATCAGTGGAACTCCATCTTCTGATGGTGTCCACGCCAGGTGTGGAGGGCAGGTTTGCTGGCACTGTCTGTATTATAGTGTGCTGGGGCTGTGTAACAAATACACAGACTGGGCAGCTTCAACAACACACATTTACTGTCTCACAGTTCTGGAGGCTGGAAGTCCAAGATCAAGGTGTCAGGGGGGTTGGTCTCTTCTGAGGCCCCTCTCCTTGGCTTGCAGATGGCTTTTTCTCCCTGCACCCTCCCTCTGTGCATGTCTGTGTCCTCATCTCCTCTTCTTACAGGACACCAGTCATGTCGAGTTACAGTCCACCCCCGTGGCCTCACTTAAACTAACGCCTTGAAGGTCCTATCTCCAAATACAGTCACTCTCTGAGGTACTGGGGGATGGAACATCAACAAAGGAATTTTGGAGAACATGATTCAACACATCACAGTGCTGAAATCTCTCAATCTTTCTCCTCAGAGACACTTATGAAATCTCAATTGAAATCTCTCAATCGATCAATCTCTCCCTCTCTCTCCCTCTGTCTCCATCTTTCTCCCTTTCTCTCTTTTCTGCTTATCTATCATCTATCAATCAATCTATCCATCTGTCTATTTGTCTGTCTGTCTATCCATCCATCCATCTATATCTATCATCTATCTATCTATCTATCTATCATCTATCAATCATGCACCTACTTATATCTATCTATCCTGTATATCTGTCTATGTCGTATCTCTCTACCATGTATATCTACCTCTGTCTATCATTTATCTTCTGCCATGTCTATCTACCTATCATCTATTATCTAGATATCTAGCTATCTTTTCCTCTGTCTATGTCTCTTTCCCTACTCCCCTTTCTCTCTTTCTCCTCAGAGACCACTTATGAAAGGAGGCCACATGGATTTCCTTATTTAATTTTCACAACACCCTAAAGATAGACATTATTCTCCCCATTTTATATATGAGGAAATGGAGCACCTTGAGGTTAGGTAATTATTCCAAAATGACACAAATTAAGTAAGCAGGAAAGCTGGGATTTGAGCTTGCATAACCTGACTCCAGAATCTATGCTTGGAACAGTAAAGGAGGCTGCTTTTTGAAGTATTTTTGACAATTTTTGCATTTTTTTGATAAGAGTTTTGGCCACATTCCATGGACTTTGAAATGTAGAGTTCTTTTTTATGTTATCTTCTAATTAATTAATCTTAGTATAATTATTTAATCTTTAATTTGAGAGTTATT
The DNA here is from genome assembly GCF_000001405.40 of Homo sapiens. Lineage (NCBI taxonomy): Eukaryota > Metazoa > Chordata > Mammalia > Primates > Hominidae > Homo > Homo sapiens. Next base: position 3,544,400 of record NC_000006.12, read on the forward strand.
TATAAATGCTTTTAAATTTCTAGGTTAGATGTGGAGGGCTATATTTTGTTGCCAGAATGTGGTATGTTCAATTGCTATTTATCTATCTTTGCCTCTGAATTTGTCAAGATTTTCTTTAAGGCACAGTCTATGAACAATTTCTATAAATTATCCATTAACATTTAGAAAAGATTTTCTGTTTTGTACAGAAATAGTATGTCTACTAAACAAAGCTTATTGTGTAAGCAATTCAAATGCTCTAATCGTATTAACTCTTTATCTAATGAAATTATTAAATTTAGATATAAGTGTTTTAAAGCTCATTGTGATTTTACCAAAATAACCTTGAATTCCTAAATTATTTTTCTTTCAATAGAAGTAGGTCTCTGCAATGTGATTTGGTGTGTAAGTGTATATGACTGCCACAATTTCTTTAGAGATATTATCTTTTATCAATAAAATTCCTCAGC